>NC_000021.9:12046733-12280944 GCF_000001405.40 Homo sapiens | reverse complement strand
TCTGTCTTGATTTGATATGAAGATATTCCCGTTTCCAACGAAATCTTCAAATCTATCCAAATGTCCACTTGCAGATTCAACAAAGTGTTTTTCAGAACTGCTCTATCAAAAGAAAGATCCACGTGTGTTAGCTGAGTTCACACATCACGAACAAGTTTATGAGAATGCTTCTGTCTAGTTTTTATTTGAAGATATATCCTTTCTCACTATAGACCTGAAAGCTCTCCTAAAGTTCACTTCCAGATACTACAGAAAGAGTTTTTCAAAACTGCTGTACGAAAGGGAATGTTCAACTCTGTGACTTGAAAGCACACATCACAAGGAAGATTCTGAGGATGCTGCTGTCTACTTTTTATACGTAATCCCGTTTCCAACGAAATCCCCCAAGCTATCCAAATATCCACTTGCAGATTCCACAGAAAGACTGTTTCAAAACTGCTCTGTCAATAGAAAGGTTCAACTCTATTAGCTGCGTGCATATATCCCAAAGAAGATTCTGAGATTGCTTCTGTCTAGTTTTTATGGGAAGATATTTACCTTTTCACCGTAGGCGCCAAGGCGTTCCAAATGTCCACTTCCAGATACTACAAAAAGAGTGTTTCAAACCTACTCTGTGAAAGGGAATATTCAACTCTGTGACTTGAAGGCAGATATCACAAAGAAGTTTCTGAGAATGCTTCTGTCGAGATTTTATATGAAGATATTCCCGTTTCCAACGAAATCCTGAAATCTATCCAAATATCCCCTCGCAGATTCTACAAAAAGAGTGTTTCAAAACTGCTCTGTAAAAAGAAAGGTTCAACTCTGTTAGTTGAGTACACACATCACAAACAAGTTTCACAGAATGCTTCTTTCTAGCTTGTAGGGGAAGATATTCCCTTTATCACCATGGGCCTCAAACCGTCCAAAACGTCTACTTCCATATACTACAAAAAGAGCGTTTCAAACCTGCTCTATGAAAGGCAATGTTCAACTCTGTGACTTGAATGCAGACATCACAGAGCAGTTTATGAGAATGCTTCTGTCTAGATTTTATAGGAAGATATTCCCGTTTCCAACGAAATCTTCACAGCTATCCAAATATCCACTTGCAGATTCTACAAAAAGAGTGTATCAAAACTGCTCTGTCAAAAGGAAGGTTCTTCTCTGTTAGTTGAGTACATACGTCATAAAGGAGTTTCTGAGAATGTTTCTGTCTAGTGGTTATGGGAAGATATTTGCTTTTTCACCGTAGGCCTCAGAGCTCTCCAAATATCCCCTTGCACATGCTACAAAAAGAGTGCTTCAAAGCTGCTCTCTGAAACGGAATGTTCAACTCTATGAGTTGAATGCAAACATCACAAAGACGTTTCTGGGAATGCTTCTGTATAGATTTGATATGAAGATATTCCCGTTTCCAACGAAATCTTCAAATCTATCCAAATGTCCACTTGCAGATTCAACAAAAAGTGTTTTTCAGAACTGCTCTATCAAAAGAAAGATCCACCTCTGTTAGCTGAGTTCACACATCACAAACAAGTTTATGAGAATGCTTCTGTCTAGTTTTTATTTGAAGATATTTCCTTTCTCACCATAGAGCTGAAAGCTGTCCTAATGTTCACTTCCAGATACTACAGAAAGAGTGTTTCAAAACTGCTGTACGAAAGGGAATGTTCAACTATGTGACTTGAATGCACACATCACAAAGAAGTTTACTGAGGATGCTGCTGTCTACTTTTTATACGTAATCCCTTTTCCAACGAAATCCTCCAAGCTATCCAAATATCCACTTGCAGATTCCACAGAAAGACTGTTTCAAAACTGCTCTGTCAATAGAAAGGTTCAACTCTGTTAGCTTGCGTGCATATATCCCAAAGAAGATTCTGAGATTGCTTCTGTCTAGTTTTTATGGGAAGATATTTCTCTTTTCACCGTAGGTGTTAAGGCGCTCCAAATGTCCACTTCCAGATACTACAAAAAGAGTGTTTCAAACCTACTCTGTGAAAGGGAATATTCAACTCTGTGACTTGAATGCAGATATCACAAAGAAGTTTCTGAGAATGCTTCTGTCGAGATTTTATATGAAGATATTCCCGTTTCCAACGAAATGCTGAAATGTATCCAAATATCCCCTCGCAGATTCTACAAAAAGAGTGTTTCAAAAGTGCTCTGTAAAAAGAAAGGTTCAACTCTGTTAGTTGAGTACACACATCACAAACAAGTTTCACAGAATGCTTCTTTCTAGCTTGTAGGGGAAGATATTCCCTTTATCACCATGGGCCTCAAACCGTCTGAAACGTCCACTTCCATATACTACAAAAAGAGCGTTTCAAAGCTGCTCTATGAAAGGCAATGTTCAACTCTGTGACTTGAATGCAGACATCACAGAGCAGTTTCTGAGAATGCTTCTGTCTAGATTTTATAGGAAGATATTCCCGTTTCCAACGAAATCTTCACAGCTATCCAAATATCCACTTGCAGATTCTACAAAAAGAGTGTATCAAAACTGCTCTGTCAAAAGGAAGGTTCTTCTCTGTTAGGTGAGTGCATACGTCATAAAGGAGTTTCTGAGAATGTTTCTGTCTAGTGGTTATGGGAAGATATTTGCTTTTTCACCTTAGGCCTCAGAGCGCTCCAAATATCCCCTTGCACATACTACAAAAAGAGTGCTTCAAAGCTGCTCTCTGAAAGGGAATGTTCAACTCTATGGGTTGAATGCAAACATCACAAAGACGTTTCTGAGAATGCTTCTGTCTAGATTTGATATGAAGATATTCCCGTTTCCAACGAAATCTTCAAATCTATCCAAATGTCCACTTGCAGATTCAACAAAAAGTGTTTTTCAGAACTGCTCTATCAAAAGAAAGATCCACCTCTGTTAGCTGAGTTCACACATCACAAACAAGTTTATGAGAATGCTTCTGTCTAGTTTTTATTTGAAGATATTTCCTTTCTCACCATAGACCTGAAAGCTGTCCTAATGTTCACTTCCAGATACTACAGAAAGAGTGATTCAATACTGCTGTACGAAAGGGAATGTTCAACTCTGTGACTTGAATGCACACATCACAAAGAAGTTTCTGAGGATGCTGCTGTCTACTTTTTATACGTAATCCCGTTTCCAACGAAATCCTCCAAGCTATCCAAATATCCACTTGCAGATTCCACAGAAAGACTGTTTCAAAACTGCTCTGTCAATAGAAAGGTTCAACTCTGTTAGCTGCGTGCATATATCCCAAAGAAGATTCTGAGATTGCTTCTGTCTAGTTTTTATGGGAAGATATTTCCCTCTTCACCGTAGGTGTCAAGGCGCTCCAAATGTCCACTTCCAGATACTACAAAAAGAGTGTTTCAAACCTACTCTGTGAAAGGGAATATTCAACTCTGTGACTTGAATGCACACATCACAAAGAAGTTTCTGAGGATGCTTCTGTCGAGATTTTATATGAAGATATTCCCGTTTCCAACGAAATCCTGAAATGTATCCAAATATCCCCTCGCAGATTCTACAAAAAGAGTGTTTCAAAACTGCTCTGTAAAAAGAAAGGTTCAACTCTGTTAGTTGAGTACACTCATCACAAACAAGTTTCACAGAATGCTTCTTTCTAGCTTGTAGGGGAAGATATTCCCTTTATCACCATGGGCCTCCAACCGTCCGAAACATCCACTTCCATATACTACAAAAAGAGCGTTTCAAACCTGCTCTACGAAAGGCAATGTTCAACTCTGTGACTTGAATGCAGACATCACAGAGCAGTTTCTGAGAATGCTTCTGTCTAGACTTTATAGGAAGGTATTCCCGTTTCCAACGAAATCTTCACAGCTATCCAAATATCCACTTGCAGATTCTCCAATGGAGTGTATCAAAACTGCTCTGTCAAAAGGAAGGTTCTTCTGTTTTAGTTGAGTACTTACGTCATAAAGAAGTTTCTGAGAATGTTTCTGTCTAGTGGTTATGGGAAGATATTTGCTTTTTCACCTTAGGCCTCAGAGCGCTCCAAATATCCACTTGCACATACTACAAAAAGAGTGCCTCAAAGCTGCTCTCTGAAACGGAATGTTCAACTCTATGAATTGAATGCAAACATCACAAAGACGTTTCTGAGAATGCTTCTGTCTAGATTTGATATGAAGATATTCCCGTTTCCAACGAAATCTTGAAATCTATCCAAATGTCCACTTGCAGATTCAACAAAGTGTTTTTCAGAACTGCTCTATCAAAAGAAAGATCCACCTCTGTTAGCTGAGATCACACTTCACAAACAAGTTTATCAGAATGCTTCTGTCTAGTTTTTATTTGAAGATATATCCTTTCTCACTATAGACCTGAAAGCTGTCCTAAAGTTCACTTCCAGATACTACAGAAACAGTGTTTCAAAACTGCTGTACGAAAGGGAATGTTCAACTCTGTGACGTGAATGCACACATCACAAGGATGTTTCTGAGGATGCTGCTGTCTACTTTTTATACGTAATCCCGTTTCCAACGAAATCCTCCAAGCTATCCAAATATCCACTTGCAGTTTCCACAGAAAGACTGTTTCAAAACTGCTCTGTCAATAGAAAGGTTCAACTCTGTTAGCTGCGTGCATATATCCCAAAGAAGATTCTGAGATTGCTTCTGTCTAGTTTTTATGGGAAGATATTTCCCTTTTCACCATAGGCGTCAAGGCGCTCCAAATGTCCACTTCCAGATACTACAAAAAGAGTGTTTCAAACCTACTCTGTGAAAGGGAATATTCAACTCTGTGACTTGAATGCACATATCACAAAGAAGTTTCTGAGAATGCTTCTGTCGAGATTTTATATAAAGATATTTCCGTTTCCAACGAAATCCTGAAATCTATCCAAATATCCCCTCGCAGATTCTACAAAAAGAGTGTTTCAAAACTGCTCTGTAAAAAGAAAGGTTCAACTCTGTTAGTTGAGTACACACATCACAAACAAGTTTCACAGAATGCTTCTTTCTAGCTTGTAGGGGAAGATATTCCCTTTATCACCATGGGCCTCCAACCGTCCGAAACATCCACTTCCATATACTACAAAAAGAGCGTTTCAAACCTGCTCTATGAAAGGCAATGTTCAACTCTGTGACTTGAATGCAGACATCACAGAGCAGTTTCTGAGAATGCTTCTGTCTAGATTTTATAGGAAGATATTCCCGTTTCCAACGAAATCTTCACAGCTATCCTAATATCCACTTGCAGATTCTACAAAAAGAGTGTATCAAAACTGCTCTGTCAAAAGGAAGGTTCTTTTCTGTTAGTTGAGTGCATACGTCATAAAGGAGTTTCTGAGAATGTTTCTGTCTAGTGGTTATGGGAAGATATTTTCTTTTTCCCCGTAGGCCTCAGGGCGCTCCAAATGTCCACTTGCACATGCTACAAAAAGAGTGCTTCAAAGCTACTCTCTGGAAGGGAATGTTCAACTCTATGAGTTGAATGCAAACATCACAAAGACGTTTCTGAGAATGCTTCTGTCTAGATTTGATATGAAGATATTCCCGTTTCCAACGAAATCTTCAAATCTATCCAAATATCCACTTGCAGATTCAACAAAGTGTTTTTCAGAACTGCTCTATCAAAAGAAAGATCCACCTCTGTTAGCTGAGTTCACACTTCACAAACAAGTTTATCAGAATGCTTCTGTCTAGTTTTTATTTGAAGATATTTCCTTTCTCACCATAGAGCTGAAAGCTGTCCTAATATTCACTTCCAGATACTACAGAAAGAGTGTTTCAAAACTGCTGTACGAAAGGGAATGTTCAACTCTGTGACTTGAATGCACACATCACAAAGAAGTTTCTGAGGATGCTGCTGTATACTTTTTATACTTAATCCCGTTTCCAACGAAATCCTCCAAGCTATCCAAATATCCACTTGCAGATTCCACAGAAAGACTGTTTCAAAACTGCTCTGTCAATAGAAAGGTTCAACTCTGTTAGCTGCGTGCATATATCCCAAAGAAGATTCTGAGATTGCTTCTGTCTAGTTTTTATGGGAAGATATTTCCCTTTTCACCGTAGGCGTCAAGGCGCTCCAAATGTCCACTTCCAGATACTACAAAAAGAGTGTTTCAAACCTACTCTGTGGAAGGGAATATTCAACTCTGTGACTTGAATGCAGATATCACAAAGAAGTTTCTGAGAATGCTTCTGTCGAGATTTTATATGAAGATATTCCCGTTTCCAACGAAATCCTGAAATCTATCCAAATATCCCCTCGCAGATTCTACAAAAAGAGTGTTTCAACACTGCTCTGTAAAAAGAAAGGTTCAACTCTGTTAGTTAAGTACACACATCACAAACAAGTTTCACAGAATGCTTCTTTCTAGCTTGCAGGGGAAGATATTCCCTTTATCACCATGGGCCTCAAACCGTCCGAAACGTCTACTTCCATATAGTACAAAAAGAGCGTTTCAAACCTGCTCTATGAAAGGCAATGTTCAACTCTGTGACTTGAATGCAGACATCACAGAGCAGTTTCTGAGAATGCTTCTGTCTAGATTTTATAGGAAGATATTCCCGTTTCCAACGAAATCTTCACAGGTATCCAAATATCCACTTGCAGATTCTACAAAAAGAGTGTATCAAAACTGCTCTGTCAAAAGGAAGGTTCTTCTCTGTTAGGTGAGTGCATACGTCATAAAGGAGTTTCTGAGAATGTTTTCTGTCTAGTGGTTATGGGAAGATATTTGCTTTTTCACCGTAGGCCTCAGAGGGCTCCAAATATCCACTTGCACATACTACAAAAAGAGTGCCTCAAAGCTGCTCTCTGAAACGGAATGTGCAACTCTATGAGTTGAATGCAAACATCGCAAAGACGTTTCTGAGAATGCTTCTGTCTAGATTTGATATGAAGATATTCCCGTTTCCAACGAAATCTTCAAATGTATCCAAATGTCCACTTGCAGATTCAACAAAAAGTGTTTTTCAGAACTGCTCTATCAAAAGTAAGATCCACCTCTGTTAGCTGAGTTCACACCTCACAAACAAGTTTATGAGAATGCTTCTGTCTAGTTTTTATTTGAAGATATTTCCTTTCTCACCATAGAGCTGAAAGCTGTCCTAATGTTCACTTCCAGATACTACAGAAAGAGTGTTTCAAAACTGCTGTACGAAAGGGAATGTTCAACTCTGTGACTTGAATGCACACATCACAAAGAAGTTTCTGAGGATGCTGCTGTCTACTTTTTATACGTAATCCCGTTTCCAAAGATATCCTCCAAGCTATCCAAATATCCACTTGCAGATTCCACAGTAAGACTGTTTCAAAACTGCTCTGTCAATAGAAAGGTTCAACTCTGTTAGCTGCGTGCATATATCCCAAAGAAGATTCTGAGATTGCTTCTGTCTAGTTTTTATGGGAAGATATTTCCCTTTTCACCGTAGGTGTCAAGGCGCTCCAAATGTCCACTTCCAGATACTACAAAAAGAGTGTTTCAAACCTACTCTGTGAAAGGGAATATTCAACTCTGTGACTTAAAGGGAGATATCACAAAGAAGTTTCTGAGAATGCTTCTGTCGAGATTTTCTATGAAGATATTCCCGTTTCCAACGAAATCCTGAAATCTATTCAAATATCCCCTCGCAGATTCTACAAAAAGAGTGTTTCAAAACTGCTCTGTAAAAAGAAAGGTTCAACTCTGTTAGTTGAGTACACACATCACAAACAAGTTTCACAGAATGCTTCTTTCTAGCTTGTAGGGGAAGATATTCCCTTTATCACCATGGGCCTCAAACCGTCCGAAACGTCCACTTCCATATACTACAAAAAGAGCGTTTCAAACCTGCTCTAGGAAAGGCAATGTTCAACTCTGTGACTTGAATGCAGACATCAAAGAGCAGGTTCTGAGAATGCTTCTGTCTAGATTTTATAGGAAGATATTCCCGTATCCAACGAAATCTTCACAGCTATCCAAATATCCACTTGCAGATTCTACAAAAAGAGTGTATCAAAACTGCTCTGTCAAAAGGAAGGTTCTTCTCTGTTAGTTGAGTACATACGTCATAAAGGAGTTTCTGAGAATGTTTCTGTCTAGTGGTTATGGGAAGATATTTGCTTTTTCACCGTAGGCCTCAGAGCGCTCCAAATATCCACTTGCACATACTACAAAAAGAGTGCTTCAAACCTGCTCTCTGAAACGGAATGTTCAACTCTATGAGTTGAATGCGAACATCACAAAGACGTTTCTGAGAATGCTTCTGTCTAGATTTGATATGAAGATATTCCCGTTTCCAACGAAATCTTCAAAGCTATCCAAATGTCCACTTGCAGATTCAACAAAAAGTGTTTTTCAGAACTGCTCTATCAAAAGAAAGATCCACCTCTGTTAGCTGAGTTCACACATCACAAACAAGTTTATGAAAATGCTTCTGTCTAGTTTTTATTTGAAGATATTTCCTTTCTCACCATAGACCTGAAAGCTGTCCTAATGTTCACTTCCAGATACTACAGAAAGAGTGTTTCAAAACTGCTGTACGAAAGGGAATGTTCAACTCTGTGACTTGAATGCACACATCACAAAGAAGTTTCTGAGGATGCTGCTGTCTACTTTTTATACGTAATCCCGTTTCCAACGAAATCCACCAATCTATCCAAATATCCACTTGCAGATTCCACAGAAAGACTGTTTCAAATCTGCTCAGTCAATAGAAAGGTTCAACTCTGTTAGCTGCGTGCATATATCCCAAAGAAGATTCTGAGATTGCTTCTGTCTAGTTTTTATGGGAAGATATTTCCCTTTTCACCGTAGGTGTCAAGGCGCTCCAAATGTCCACTTCCAGATACTACAAAAAGAGTGTTTCAAACCTACTCTGTGAAAGGGAATATTCAACTCTGTGACCTGAATGCACATATCACAAAGAAGTTTCTGAGAATGCTTCTGTCGAGATTTTATATGAAGATATTCCCGTTTCCAACGAAATGCTGAAATCTATCGAAATATCCCCTCGCAGATTCTACAAAAAGAGTGTTTCAAAACTGCTCTGTGAAAAGAAAGGTTCAACTCTGTTAGTTGAGTACACACATCACAAACAAGTTTCACAGAATGCTTCTTTCTAGCTTGTAGGGGAAGATATTCCCTTTATCACCATGGGCCTCAAACCGTCCGAAACGTCCACTTCCAAATACTACAAAAAGAGTGTTTCAAACCTGCTCTATGAAAGGCAATGTTCAACTCTGTGACTTGAATGCAGACATCACAGAGCAGTTTCTGAGAATGCTTCTGTCCAGACTTTATAGGAAGATATTCCCGTTTCCAACGATATCTTCACAGCTATCCAAATATCCACTTGCAGATACTACAAAAAGAGTGTATCAAAAATGCTCTGTCAAAAGGAAAGTTCTTCTCTGCTAGTTGAGTACATACGTCATAAAGAAGTTTCTGAGAATGTTTCTGTCTAGTGGTTATGGAAAGATATTTGCTTTTTCACCGTAGGCCTCAGAGCGCTCCAAATATCCACTTGCACATACTACAAAAAGAGTGCCTCAAAGCTGCTCTCTGAAACGGAATGTTCAACTCTATGAGTTGAATGCAAACATCGCAAAGACGTTTCTGAGAATGCTTCTGTCTAGATTTGATATGAAGATATTCCCGTTTCCAACGAAATCTTCAAATCTATCCAAATGTCCACTTGCAGATTCAACAAAATGTGTTTTTCAAAACTGCTGTATCAAAAGAAAGATCCACGTCTGTTAGCTGAGTTCACACATCACAAACAAGTTTAGGAGAATGCTCTGTCTAGTTTTTATTTGAAGATATTTCCTTTCTCACCATAGAGCTGAAAGCTGTCCTAATGTTCACTTCCAGATACTACAGAAAGAGTGTTTCAAAACTGCTGTACGAAAAGGAATGTTCAACTCTGTGACTTGAATGCACACATCACAAAGAAGTTTCTGAGGATGCTGGCTTTCTACTTTTTATACGTAATCCCGTTTCCAACGAAATCCTCCAAGCTATCCAAATATCCACTTGCAGATTCCACAGAAAGACTGTTTCAAAACTGCTCTGTCAATAGAAAGGTTCAACTCTGTTAGCTGCGTGCATATATCCCAAAGAAGATTCTGAGATTGCTTCTGTCTAGTTTTCATGGGAAGATATTTCCCTTTTCACCGTAGGCGTCAAGGCGCTCCAAATGTCCACTTCCAGATACTACAAAAAGAGTGTTTCAAACCTACTCTGTGAAAGGGAATATTCAACTCTGTGACTTGAATGCACATATCACAAAGAAGTTTCTGAGAATGCTTCTGTCGAGATTTTATATGAAGATATTCCCGTTTCCAACGAAATCCTGAAATCTATCCAAATATCCCCACGCAGATTCTACAAAAAGAGTGTTTCAAAACTGCTCTGTAAAAAGAAAGGTTCAACTCTGTTAGTTGAGTACACACATCACAAACAAGTTTCACAGAATGCTTCTTTCTAGCATGTAGGGGAAGATATTTCCTTTATCACCATGGTCCTCAAACCGTCCGAAACATCCACTTCCATATACTAAAAAAAGAGTGTTTGAAACCTGCTCTATGAAAGGCAATGTTCAACTCTGTGACTTGAATGCAGACATCTCAGAGCAGTTTCGGAGAATGCTTCTGTCTAGCATTTTATAGGAAGATATTCCCGTTTCCAACGAAATCTTCACAGCTATCCAAATATCCACTTGCAGATTCTACAAAAAGAGTGTATCAAAACTGCTCTGTCAAAAGGAAGGTTCTTCTCTGTTAGGTGAGTGCATACGTCATAAAGGAGTTTCTGAGAATGTTTCTGTCTAGTGGTTATGGGAAGATATTTGCTTTTTCACCTTAGGCCTCAGAGCGCTCCAAATATCCACTTGCACATACTACAAAAAGAGTGCCTCAAAGCTGCTCTCTGAAACGGAATGTTCAACTCTATGAGTTGAATGCAAACATCGCAAAGACGTTTCTGAGAATGCTTCTGTCTAGATTTGATATGAAGATATTCCCGTTTCCAACGAAATCTTCAAATCTATCCAAATGTCCACTTGCAGATTCAACAAAAAGTGTTTTTCAGAACTGTTCTATCAAAAGAAAGATCCACCTCTCTTAGCTGAGTTCACACATCACAAACAAGTTTATGAGAATGCTTCTGTCTAGTTTTTATTTGAAGATATTTCCTTTCTCACCATAGACCTGAAAGCTGTCCTAATGTTCACTTCCAGTTACTACAGAAAGAGTGTTTCAAAACTGCTGCACGAAAGGGAATGTTCAACTCTGTGACTTGAATGCACACATCACAAAGAAGTTTCTGAGGATGCTGCTGTCTACTTTTTATACGTAATCCCATTTCCAACGAAATCCTCCAAGCTATCCAAATATCCACTTGCAGATTCCACAGAAAGACTGTTTCAAAACTGCTATGTCAATAGAAAAGTTCAACTCTGTTAGCTGTGTGCATATATCCCAAAGAAAATTCTGAGATTGCTTCTGTCTAGTTTTTATGGGAAGATATTTCCCTTTTCACCGTAGGGGTCAAGGCGCTCCAAATGTCCACTTCCAGATACTATAAAAAGAGTGTTTCAAACCTACTCTGTGAAAGGGAATATTCAACTCTGTGACTTGAATGCAGATATCATAAAGAAGTTTCTGAGAATGCTTCTGTCGAGATTTTGTATGAAGATATTCCCGTTTCCAACGAAATCCTGAAATCTATCCAAATTTCCCCTCGCAGATTCTACAAAAAGAGTGTTTCAAAACTGCTCTGCAAAAAGAAAGGTTCAACTCTGTTAGTTGAGTACACACATCACAAACAAGTTTCACAGAATGCTTCTTTCTAGCTTGTAGGGGAAGATATTCCCTTTATCACCATGGGCCTCAAACCGTCCGAAACGTCCACTTCCATATACTACAAAAAGAGCGTTTCAAACCTGCTCTACGAAAGGCAATGTTCAACTCTGTGACTTGAATGCAGACATCACAGAGCAGTTTCTGAGAATGCTTTCTGTCTAGATTTTATAGGAAGATATTCCCGTTTCCAACGAAATCTTCACAGCTATCCAAATATCCTCTTGCAGATTCTAGAAAAAGAGTGTATCAAAACTGCTCTGTCAAAAGGAAGGTTCTTTTCTGTTAGGTGAGTGCATACGTCATAAAGGAGTTTCTGAGAATGTTTCTGTTAGTGGTTATAGGAAGATATTTGCTTTTTCACCGTAGGCCTCAGAGCGCTCCAAATATCCACTTGCACATACTACAAAAAGAGTGCCTCAAAGCTGCTCTCTGAAACGGAATGTTCAACTCTATGAGTTGAATGCAAACATCGCAAAGACGTTTCTGAGAATGCTTCTGTCTAGATTTGATATGAAGATATTCCCGTTTCCAACGAAATCTTCAAATCTATCCAAATGTCCACTTGCAGATTCAACAAAAAGTGTTTTTCAGAATTGCTCTATCAAAAGAAAGATCCACCTCTGTTAGCTGAGTTCACACATCACAAACAAGTTTATGAGAATGCTTCTGTCTAGTTTTTATTTGAAGATATTTCCTTTCTCACCATAGACCTGAAAGCTGTCGTAATGTTTACTTCCAGATACTACAGAAAGAGTGTTTCAAAACTGCTGTATGAAACGGAATGTTCAACTCTGTGACTTGAATGCACACATCACAAAGAAGTTTCTGAGGATGCTGCTGTCTACTTTTTATACGTAATCCCGTTTTCAACGAAATCCTCCAAGCTATCCAAATATCCACTTGCAGATTCCACAGAAAGACTGTTTCAAAACTGCTCTGTCAATAGAAAGGTTCAACTCTGTTAGCTGCGTGCATATATCCCAAAGAAGATTCTGAGATTGCTTCTGTCTAGTTTTTATGGGAAGATATTTCCCTTTTCACCGTAGGTGTCAAGGCGCTCCAAATGTCCACTTCCAGATACTACAAAAAGAGTGTTTCAAACCTACTCTGTGAAAGGGAATATTCAACTCTGTGACTTGAATGCACATATCACAAGGAAGTTTCTGAGAATGCTTCTGTCGAGATTTTATATGAAGATATTCCCGTTTCCAACGAAATGTTGAAATGTATCCAAATATCCCCTCGCAGATTCTACAAAAAGAGTGTTTCAAAACTGCTCTGTAAAAACAAAGGTTCAACTCTGTTAGTTGAGTACACACATCACAAACAAGTTTCACAGAATGCTTCTTTCTAGCTTGTAGGGGAAGATATTCCCTTTATCACCATGGGCCTCAAACCGTCCGAAACGTCCACTTCCATATACTACAAAAAGAGCGTTTCAAACCTGCTCTATGAAAGGCAATGTTCAACTCTGTGACTTGAATGCAGACATCACAGAGCAGTTTCTGAGAATGCTTCTGTCTAGATTTGATATGAAGATATTCCCGTTTCCAACGAAATCTTCAAATCTATCCAAATGTCCACTTGCAGATTCAACAAAAAGTGTTTTTCAGAACTGCTCTATCAAAAGAAAAATCCACCTCCGTTAGCTGAGTTCACACTTCACAAACAAGTTTATCAGAATGCTTCTGTCTAGTGGTTATGGGATGATATTTGCTTTTTCACCGTAGGCCTCAGAGCGCTCCAAATATCCACTTGCACATACTACAAAAAGAGTGCTTCAAAGCTGCTCTCTGAAAGGGAATGTTCAACTCTATGAGTTGAATGCAAACATCACAAAGACGTTTCTGAGAATGCTTCTGTCTAGATTTGATATGAAGATATTCCCGTTTCCAACGAAATCTTCAAATCTATCCAAATGTCCACTTGCAGATTCAACAAAAAGTGTTTTTCAGAACTGCTCTATCAAAAGAAAGATCCACGTGTGTTAGCTGAGTTCACACATCACAAACAAGTTTATGAGAATGCTTCTGTCTGGTTTTTATTTGAAGATATTTCCTTTCTCACCATAGACCTGAAAGCTGTCCTAATGTTCACTTCCAGATACTACAGAAAGAGTGTTTCAAAACTGCTGTACGAAAGGGAATGTTCAACTCTGTGACTTGAATGCACACATCACAAAGAAGTTTCTGAGGATGCTGCTGTCTACTTTTGATACGTAATCCCGTTTCCAACGAAATCCTCCAAGCTATCCAAATATCCACTTGCAGATTCCACAGAAAGACTGTTTCAAAACTGCTCTGTCAATAGAAAGGTTCAACTCTGTTAGCTGCGTGCATATATCCCAAAGAAGATTCTGAGATTGCTTCTGTCTAGTTTTTATGGGAAGATATTTCCCTTTTCACCGTAGGCGTCAAGGCGCTCCAAATGTCCACTTCCAGATACTACAAAAAGAGTGTTTCAAACCTACTCCGTGAAAGGGAATATTCAACTCTGTGACTTGAATGCACATATCACAAAGAAGTTTCTGAGAATGCTTCTGTCGAGATTTTATATGAAGATATTCCCGTTTCCAACGAAATCCTGAAATGTATCCAAATATCCCCTCGCAGATTCTACAAAAAGAGTGTTTCAAAACTGCTCTGTAAAAAGAAAGGTTCAACTCTGTTAGTTGAGTACACACATCACAAACAAGTTTCACAGAATGCTTCTTTCTAGCTTGTAGGGGAAGATATTCCCTTTATCACCATGGTCCTCAAACCGTCCGAAACGTCCACTTCCATATACTACAAAAAGAGCATTTCAAACCTGCTCTATGAAAGGCAATGTTCAACTCTGTGACTTGAATGCAGACATCACAGAGCAGTTTCTGAGAATGCTTCTGTATAGATTTTATAGGAAGATATTCCCGTTTCCAACGAAATCTTCACAGGTATCCAAATATCCACTTGCAGATTCTACAAAAAGAGTGTATCAAAACTGCTCTGTCAAAAGGAAGGTTCTTCTCTGTTAGGTGAGTGCATACGTCATAAAGGAGTTTCTGAGAATGTTTCTGTCTAGTGGTTATGGGAAGATATTTGCTTTTTCACCGTAGGCCTCAGAGCGCTCCAAATATCCACTTGCACATACTACAAAAAGAGTGCTTCAAACCTGCTCTCTGAAACGGAATGTTCAACTCTATGAGTTGAATGCAAACATCACAAAGACGTTTCTGAGAATGCTTCTGTCTAGATTTGATATGAAGATATTCCCGTTTCCAACGAAATCTTCAAATCTATCCAAATGTCCTCTTGCAGATTCAACAAAAAGTGTTTTTCAGAACTGCTCTATCAAAAGAATGATCGACGTGTGTTAGCTGAGTTCACACATCACGAACAAGTTTATGAGAATGCTTCTGTCTAGTTTTTATTTGAAGATATTTCCTTTCTCACCATAGACCTGAAAGCTGTCCTAATGTTCACTTCCAGATACTACAGAAAGAGTGTTTCAAAACTGCTGTACGAAAGGGAATGTTCAACTCTGTAACTTGAATGCACACATCACAAAGAAGTTTCTGAGGATGCTGCTGTCTACTTTTTATACGTAATCCCGTTTCCAACGAAATCCTCCAAGCTATCCAAATATCCACTTGCAGATTCCACAGAAAGACTGTTTCAAAACTGCTCTGTCAATAGAAAGGTTCAACTCTGTTAGCTGTGTCCATATATCCCAAAGAAGATTCTGAGATTGCTTCTGTCTAGTTTTTATGGGAAGATATTTCCCTTTTCACCGTAGGCGTCAAGGCGCTCCAAATGTCCACTTCCAGATACTACAAAAAGAGTGTTTCAAACCTACTCTGTGAAAGGGAATATTCAACTCAGTGATTTGAATGCAGATATCACAAAGAAGTTTCTGAGAATGCTTCTGTCGAGATTTTATATGAAGATATTCCCGTTTCCAACGAAATCCTGAAATCTATCCAAATATCCCCTCGCAGATTCTACAAAAAGAGTGTTTCAAAACTGCTCTGTGAAAAGGAAGGTTCAACTCTGTTAGTTGAGTACACACATCACAAACAAGTTTCACAGAATGCTTCCTTCTAGCTGGTAGGGGAAGATATTCACTTTATCACCATGGGCCTCAAACCGTCCGAAACGTCCACTTCCATATACTACGAAAAGAGCGTTTCAAACCTGCTCTATGAAAGGCAATGTTCAACTCTGTGACTTGAATGCAGACATCACAGAGCAGTTTCTGAGAATGCTTCTGTCTAGATTTTATAGGAAGATATTCCCGTTTTCAACGAAATCTTCACAGCTATCCAAATATCCACTTGCAGATTCTACAAAAAGAGTGTATCAAAACTGCTCTGTCAAGAGGAAGGTTCTTCTCAGTTAGGTGAGTGCATACGTCATAAAGGAGTTTCTGAGAATGTTTCTGTCTAGTGGTTATGGGAAGATATTTGCTTTTTCACCGTAGGCCTCAGAGCGCTCCAAATATCCACTTGCACATACTACAAAAAGAGAGCTTCAAAGCTGCTCTCTGAAACGGAATGTTCAACTCTATGAGTTGAATGCAAACATCACAAAGACGTTTCTGAGAATGCTTCTGTCTAGATTTGATATGAAGATATTCCCGTTTCCAATGAAATCTTCAAATCTATCCAAATGTCCACTTGCGGATTCAACAAAAAGTGTTTTTCAAAACTGCTGTATCAAAAGAAAGATCCACCTCTGTTAGCTGAGTTCACACATCACAAACAAGTTTATGAGAATGCTTTCTGTCTAGTTTTTATTTGAAGATATTTCCTTTCTCACCATAGAGCTGAAAGCTGTCCTAATGTTCACTTCCAGGTACTACAGAAAGAGTGTTTCAAAACTGCTGTACGAAAAGGAATGTTCAACTCTGTGACTTGAATGCACACATCACAAAGAAGTTTCTGAGGATGCTGCTGTCTACTTTTTATACGTAATCCCGTTTCCAACGAAATCCTCCAAGCTATCCAAATATCCACTTGCAGATTCCACAGAAAGACTGTTTCAAAACTGCTCTGTCAATAGAAAGGTTCAACTCTGTTAGCTGCGTGCATATATCCCAAAGAAGATTCTGAGATTGCTTCTGTCTAGTTTTTATGGGAAGATATTTCCCTTTTCACGGTAGGTGTCAAGGCGCTCCAAATGTCCACTTCCAGATACTACAAAAAGAGTGTTTCAAACCTACTCTGTGAAAGGGAATATTCAACTCTGTGACTTGAATGCACATATCACAAAGAAGTTTTTGAGAATGCTTCTGTCGAGATTTTGTATGAAGATATTCCCGTTTCCAACGAAATCCTGAATTCTATCCAAATTTCCCCTCGCAGATTCTACAAAAAGAGTGTTTCAAAACTGCTCTGTGAAAAGAAAGGTTCAACTCTGTTAGTTGAGTACACACATCACAAACAAGTTTCACAGAATGCTTCCTTCTAGCTTGTAGGGGAAGATATTCCCTTTATCACCATGGGCCTCAAACCGTCCGAAACGTCCACTTCCATATACTACAAAAAGAGCGTTTCAAACCTGTTCTAGGAAAGGCAATGTTCAACTCTGTGACTTGAATGCAGACATCACAGAGCAGTTTCTGAGAATGCTTCTGTCTAGTATTTTATAGGAAGATATTCCCGTTTCCAACGAAATCTTCACAGCTATCCAAATATCCACTTGCAGATTCTACAAAAAGAGTGTATCAAAACTGCTCTGTCAAAAGGAAGGTTCTTTTCTGTTAGGTGAGTGCATACGTCATAAAGGAGTTTCTGAGAATGCTTCTGTCTAGTGGTTATGGGAAGATATTTGCTTTTTCACCGTAGGCCTCAGAGCGCTCCAAATATCCACTTGCACATACTACAAAAAGAGTGCTTCAAAGCTGCTCTCTGAAACGGAATGTTCAACTCTATGAGTTGAATGCAAACATCACAAAGACGTTTCTGAGAATGCTTCTGTCTAGATTTGATATGAAGATATTCCCGTTTCCAACGAAATCTTCAAATCTATCCAAATGTCCACTTCCAGATTCAACAAAGTGTTCTTCAGAACTGCTCTATCAAAAGAAAGATCCACCTCTGTTAGCTGAGATCACACTTCACAAACAAGTTTATCAGAATGCTTCTGTCTAGTTTTTATTTGAAGATATTTCCTTTCTCACCATAGACCTGAAAGCTGTCCTAATGTTCACTTCCAGATACTACAGAAAGAGTGTTTCAAAACTGCTGTACGAAAGGGAATGTTCAACTCTGTGACTTGAATGCACACATCACAAAGAAGTTTCTGAGGATGCGGCTGTCTACTTTTTATACGTAATCCCGTTTCCAACGAAATCCTCCAAGCTATCCAAATATCCACTTGCAGATTCCACAGAAAGACTGTTTCAAAACTGCTCTGTCAATAGAAAGGTTCAACTCTGTTAGCTGCGTACATATATCCCAAAGAAGATTACTGAGATTGCTTCTGTCTAGTTTTTATGGGAAGATATTTCCCTTTTCACCGTAGGCGTCAAGGCGCTCCAAATGTCCACTTCCAGATACTACAAAAAGAGTCTTTCAAACCTACTCTGTGGAAGGGAATATTCAACTCTGTGACTTCAATGCAGATATCACAAAGAAGTTTCTGAGAATGCTTCCGTCGAGATTTTATATGAAGATATTCCCGTTTCCAACGAAATCCTGAAATCTATCCAAATATCCCCTCGCAGATTCCACAAAAAGAGTGTTTCAACACTGCTCTGTAAAAAGAAAGGTTCAACTCTGTTAGTTGAGTACACACATCACAAACAAGTTTCACAGAATGCTTCTTTCTAGCTTGTAGGGGAAGATATTCCCTTTATCACCATGGGCCTCAAACCGTCCGAAACGTCCACTTCCATATACTACAAAAAGAGCGTTTCAAACCTGCTCTATGAAAGGCAATGTTGAACTCTGTGACTTGAATGCAGACATCACAGAGCAGTTTCTGAGAATGCTTCTGTCTAGATTTTATAGGAAGATATTCCCGTTTGCAACGAAATCTTCACAGCTATCCAAATATCCACTTGCAGATTCTACAAAAAGAGTGTATCAAAACTGCTCTGTCAAAAGGAAGGTTCTTCTCTCTTAGTTGAGTACATACGTCATAAAGGAGTTTCTGAGAATGTTTCTGTCTAGCGGTTATGGGAAGATATTTGCTTTTTCACCGTAGGCCTCAGAGCGCTCCAAATATCCACTTGCAGATACTACAAAAAGAGTGCTTCAAAGCTGCTCTCTGAAACGGAATGTTCAACTCTATGAGTTGAATGCAAACATCACAAAGACGTTTCTGAGAATGCTTCTGTCTAGATTTGATATGAAGATATTCCCGTTTCCAACGAAATCTTCAAATCTATCCAAATGTCCACTTGCAGATTCAACAAAACGTGTTTTTCAGAACTGCTCTATCAAAAGAAAGATCCACGTCTCTAAGCTGAGTTCACACATCACAAACAAGTTTATGAGAATGCTTCTGTCTAGTTTTTATTTGAAGATATTTCCTTTCTCACCATAGACCTGAAAGCTGTCCTAATGTTCAGTTCCAGTTACTACAGAAAGAGTGTTTCAAAACTGCTGTACGAAAGGGAATGTTCAACTCTGTGACTTGAATGCACACATCACAAAGAAGTTTCTGAGGATGCTGCTGTCTACTTTTTATACTTAATCCCGTTTCCAACGAAATACTCCAAGCTATCCAAATATCCACTTGCAGATTCCACAGAAAGACTGTTTCAAAACTGCTCTGTCAATAGAAAGGTTCAACTCTGTTAGCTGCGTGCATATATCCCAAAGAAGATTCTGAGATTGCTTCTGTCTAGTTTTGATGGGAAGATATTTCCCTTTTCACCGTAGGCGTCAAGGCGCTCCAAATGTCCATTTCCAGATACTACAAAAAGAGTGTTTCAAACCTACTCTGTGAAAGGGAACATTCAACTCTGTGACTTGAATGCACATATCACAAGGAAGTTTCTGAGAATGCTTCTGTCGAGATTTTATATGAAGATATTTCCGTTTCCAACAAAATCCTGAAATCTCTCCAAATATCCCCTCGCAGATTCTACAAAAAGAGTGTTTCAAAACTGCTCTGTAAAAAGAAAGGTTCAACTCTGTTAGTTGAGTACACACATCACAAACAAGTTTCACAGAATGCTTCTTTCTAGCTTGTAGGGGAAGATATTCCCTTTATCACCATGGGCCTCAAACCGTCCGAAACGTCCACTTCCATATACTACAAAAAGAGCGCTTCAAACCTGCTCTATGAAAGACAATGTTCAACTACTGTGACTTGAATGCAGACATCACAGAGCAGTTTCTGAGAATGCTTCTGTCTAGATTTTATAGGAAGGTATTCCCGTTTCCAACGAATTCTTCACAGCTATCCAAATATCCACTTGCAGATTCTCCAATGGAGTGTATCAAAACTGCTCTCTCAAAAGGAAGGTTCTTCTGTTTTAGTTGAGTACATACGTGATAAAGAAGTTTCTGAGAATGTTTCTGTCTAGGGGTTATGGTAAGATATTTACTTTTTCCCCGTAGGCCTCAAAGCGCTCCAAATGTCCACTTGCACATACTTAAAAAGAGTGCTTCAAAGCTGCTCTCTGAAAGGGAATGTTCAACTCTATGAGTTGAATGCAAACATCACAAAGACGTTTCTGAGAATGCTTCTGTCTAGCTTTGATATGAAGATATTCCCGTTTGCAACGAAATCTTCAAATCTATCAAAATGTCCACTTGCAGATTCAACAAAACGTGTTTTTCAGAACTGCTCTATCAAAGGAAAGATACACCTCTGTTAGCTGAGTTCACACATCACAAACAAGTTTATGAGAATGCTTCTGTCTAGTTTTTATTTGAAGATATTTCCTTTCTCACCATAGACCTGAAAGCTGTCCTAATGTTCACTTCCAGATGCTACAGAAAGAGTGTTTCAAAACTGCTGTACGAAAGGGAATATTCAACTCTGTGACTTGAATGCACACATCACAAAGAAGTTTCTGAGGATGCTGCTGTCTACTTTTTATACTTAATCCCGTTTCCAACGAAATCCTCCAAGCTATCCAAATATCCACTTGCAGATTCCACAGAAAGACTGTTTCAAAACTGCTCTGTCAATAGAAAGGTTCAACTCTGTTAGCTGTGTGCATATATCCCAAAGAAGATTCTGAGATTGCTTCTGTCTAGTTTTTATGGGAAGATATTTCCCTTTTCACCGTAGGTGTCAAGGCGCTCCAAATGTCCACTTCCAGATACTACAAAAAGAGTGTTTCAAACCTACTCTGTGAAAGGGAATATTCAACTCTGTGACTTAAAGGCAGATGTCACAAAGAAGTTTCTGAGAATGCTTCCGTCGAGATTTTATATGAAGATATTCCCGTTTCCAACGAAATCCTGAAATCTATCCAAATATCCCCTCGCAGATTCCACAAAAAGAGTGTTTCAACACTGATCTGTAAAAAGAAAGGTTCAACTCTGTTAGTTGAGTACACACATCACAAACAAGTTTCACAGAATGCTTCTTTCTAGCTTGTAGGGGAAGATATTTCCTTTATCACCATGGTCCTCAAACCGTCCGAAACGTCCACTTCCATATACTAAAAAAAGAGTGTTTCAAACCTGCTCTATGAAAGGCAATGTTCAACTCTGTGACTTGAATGCAGACATCACAGAGCAGTTTCTGAGAATGCTTCTGTCCAGACTTTATAGGAAGATATTCCCGTTTCCAACGAAATCTTCACAGCTATCCAAATATCCACTTGCAGATAGTACAAAAAGAGTGTATCAAAAATGCTCGGTCAAAAGGAAAGTTCTTCTCTGCTACTTGAGTACATACGTCATAAAGAAGTTTCTGAGAATGTTTCTGTCTAGTGGTTATGGGAAGATATTTGCTTTTTCACCGTAGGCCTCAGAGCGCTCCAAATATCCACTTGCACATACTACAAAAAGAGTGCTTCAAAGCTGGTCTCTGAAAGGGAATGTTCAACTCTATGAGTTGAATGCAAACATCGCAAAGACGTTTCTGAGAATGCTTCTGTCTAGATTTGATATGAAGATATTCCCGTTTCCAACGAAATCTTCAAATCTATCCAAATGTCCACTTGCAGATTCAACAAAGCGTTTTTCAGAACTGCTCTATCAAAAGAAAGATCCACCTCTGTTAGCTGAGATCACACTTCACAAACAAGTTTATCAGAATGCTTCTGTCTAGTTTTTATTTGAAGATATATCCTTTCTCACTATAGACCTGAAAGCTCTCCTAAAGTTCACTTCCAGATACTACAGAAAGAGTGTTTCAAAACTGCTGTTCGAAAGGGAATGTTCAACTTCTGTGACTTGAATGCACACATCACAAGGATGTTTCTGAGGATGCTGCTGTCTACTTTTTATACGTAATCCCGTTTCCAAAGAAATCCTCCAAGCTATCCAAATATCCACTTGCAGATTCCACAGAAAGACTGTTTCAAAACTGCTCTGTCAATAGAAAGGTTCAACTCTGTTAGCTGCGTGCATATATCCCAAAGAAGATTCTGATATTGCTTCTGTCTAGTTTTCATGGGAAGATATTTCCCTTTTCACCATAGGCGTCAAGGCGCTCCAAATGTCCACTTCCAGATACTACAAAAAGAGTGTTTCAAACCTACTCTGTGAAAGGGAATATTCAACTCTGTGACTTGAATGCACATATCACAAAGAAGTTTCTGAGAATGCTTCTGTCGAGATTTTATATGAAGATATTCCCGTTTCCAACGAAATCCTGAAATCTATCCAAATATCCCCTCGCAGATTCTACAGAAAGAGTGTTTCAAAACTGCTCTGTAAAAAGAAAGGTTCAACTCTGTTAGTTGAGTACACATATCACAAACAAGTTTCACAGAATGCTTCTTTCTAGCTTGTAGGGGAAGATATTCCCTTTATCACCATGGGCCTCAAACCTTCCGAAACGTCAACTTCCATATACTACAAAAAGAGCGTTTCAAACCTGCTCTAGGAAAGGCAATGTTCAACTCTGTGACTTGAATGCAGACATCACAGAGCAGTTTCTGAGAATGCTTCTGTCTAGATTTTATAGGAAGATATTCCCGTTTCCAACGAAATCTTCACAGCTATCCAAATATCCACTTGCAGATTCTACAAAAAGAGTGTATCAAAACTGCTCTGTCAAAAGGAAGGTTCTTTTCTGTTAGGTGAGTGCATACGTCATAAAGGAGTTTCTGAGAATGTTTCTGTCTAGTGGTTATGGGAAGATATTTGATTTTTCACCGTAGGCCTCAGAGCGCTCCAAATATCCACTTGCACATACTACAAAAAGAGTGCTTCAAAGCTGCTCTCTGAAAGGGAATGTTGAACTCTATGAGTTGAATGCAAACATCACAAAGACGTTTCTGAGAATTCTTCTGTCTAGATTTGATATGAAGATATTCCCGTTTCCAAGGAAATCTTCAAATCTATCCAAATGTCCACTTGCAGATTCAACAAAAAGTGTTTTTCAGAACTGCTCTATCAAAAGAAAGATCCACCTCTGTTAGCTGAGTTCACACATCACAAACAAGTTTATGAGAATGCTTCTGTCTAGTTTTTATTTGAAAATATTTCCTTTCTCACCATAGAGCTGAAAGCTGTCCTAATGTTCACTTCCAGATACTACAGAAAGAGTGTTTCAAAACTGCTGTACGAAAGGGAATGTTCAACTCTGTGACTTGAATGCACACATCACAAAGAAGTTTCTGAGGATGCTGCTGTCTACTTTTTATACGTAATCCCGTTTCCAACGAAATCCTCCAAGCTATCCAAATATCCACTTGCAGATTCCACAGAAAGACTGTTTCAAAGCTGCTCTGTCAATAGAAAGGTTCAACTCTGTTAGCTGCGTGCATATATCCCAAAGAAGATTCTGAGATTGCTTCTGTCTAGTTTTTATGGGAAGATATTTCCCTTTTCACCGTAGGCGTCAAGGCGCTCCAAATGTCCACTTCCAGATACTACAAAAAGAGTGTTTCAAACGTACTCTGTGAAAGGGAATATTCAACTCTGTGACTTGAATGCACATATCACAAAGAAGTTTCTGAGAATGCTTCTGTCGAGATTTTATATGAAGATATTCCCGTTTCCAACGAAATCCTGAAATCTATCCAAATATCCCCTCGCAGATTCTACAAAAAGAGTGTTTCAAAACTGCTCTGTAAAAAGAAAGGTTCAACTCTGTTACTTGAGTACACACTTCACAAACAAGTTTCACAGAATGCTTCTTTCTAGCTTGTAGGGGAAGATATTTCCTTTATCACCATGGGCCTCAAACCGTCCGAAACGTCCACTTCCATATACTAAAAAAAGAGTGTTTCAAACCTGCTCTATGAAAGGCAATGTTCAACTCTGTGACTTGAATGCAGACATCACAGAGCAGTTTCTGAGAATGCTTCTGTCTAGATTTTATAGGAAGATATTCCCGTTTCCAACGAAATCTTCACAGCTATCCAAATATCCACTTGCAGATTCTACAAAAAGAGTTTATCAAAACTGCTCTGTCAAAAGGAAGGTTCTTCTCTGTTACTTGAGTACATACGTCATAAAGGAATTTCTGAGAATGTTTCTGTCTAGTGGTTATGGGAAGATATTTGCTTTTTCACCGTAGGCTTCACAGCGCTCCAAATATCCACTTGCACATACTACAAAAAGAGTGCTTCAAAGCTGCTCTCTGAAACGGAATGTTCAACTCTATGAGTTGAATGCAAACATCACAAAGACGTTTCTGAGAATGCTTCTGTCTAGATTTGATATGAAGATATTCCCGTTTCCAACGAAATCTTCAAATCTATCCAAATGTCCACTTGCAGATTCAACAAAAAGGGTTTTTCAAAACTGCTCTATCAAAAGAAAGATCCACGTCTGTTAGCTGAGTTCACACATCACAAACAAGTTTATGAGAATGCTTCTGTCTAGTTTTTATTTGAAGATATTTCCTTTTTCACCACAGAGCTGAAAGCTGTCCTAATGTTCACTTCCAGATACTACAGAAAGAGTGTTTCAAAACTGCTGTACGAAAGGGAATGTTCAACTCTGTGACTTGAATGCACACATCACAAAGAAGTTTCTGAGGATGCTGCTGTCTACTTTTTATACGTAATCCCGTTTCCAACGAAATCCTCCAAGCTATCCAAATATCCACTTGCAGATTCCACAGAAAGACTGTTTCAAAACTGCTCTGTCAATAGAAATGTTCAACTCTGTTAGCTGCGTGCATATATCCCAAAGAAGATTCTGAGATTGCTTCTGTCTAGCTTTTATGGGAAGATATTTCCCTTTTCACCGTAGGTGTCAAGGCGCTCCAAATGTCCACTTCCAGATACTACAAAAAGAGTGTTTCAAACCTACTCTGTGAAAGGGAATATTCAACTCTGTGACTTGAATGCAGATATCACAATGAAGTTTCTGAGAATGCTTCTGCCGAGATTTTCAAAGAAGATATTCCCGTTTCCAAGGAAATCCTGATATCTATCCAAATATCCCCACGCAGATTCTACAAAAAGAGTGTTTCAAAACTGCTCTGTAAAAAGAAAGGTTCAACTCTGTTAGTTGAGTACACACATCACAAACAAGTTTCACAGAATGCTTCTTTCTAGCTGGTAGGGGAAGATATTCCCTTTATCACCATGGGCCTCAAACCGTCCGAAACGTCCACTTCCATATACTACAAAAAAGAGCGTTTCAAACCTGCTCTATGAAAGGCAATGTTCAACTCTGTGACTTGAATGCACACATCACAGAGCAGTTTCTGAGAATGCTTCTGTCTAGATTTTATAGGAAGATATTCCCGTTTCCAACGAAATCTTCACAGCTATCCAAATATCCACTTGCAGATTCTACAAAAAGAGTGTATCAAAACTGCTCTGTCAAAAGGAAGGTTCTTCTTCTGTTAGTTGAGTACATACGTCATAAAGGAGTTTCTGAGAATGTTTCTGTCTAGTGGTTAAGGGAAGATATTTGCTTTTTCACCGTAGGCCTCAGAGCGCTCCAAATATCCACTTGCACATACTACAAAAAGAGTGCTTCAAAGCTGCTCTCTGAAACGGAATGTTCAACTCTATGAGTTGAATGCAAACATCACAAAGACGTTTCTGAGACTGCTTCTGTCTAGATTTGATATGAAGATATTCCCGTTTACAACGAAATCTTCAAATCTATCCAAATGTCCACTTGCAGATTCAACAAAGTGTTTTTCAGAACTGCTCTATCAAAAGAAAGATCCACCTCTGTTAGCTGAGATCACACTTCACAAACAAGTTTATCAGAATGCTTCTGTCTAGTTTTTATTTGAAGATATAACCTTTCTCACTATAGACCTGAAAGCTGTCCTAAAGTTCACTTCCAGATACTACAGAAAGAGTGTTTCAAAACTGCTGTACGAAAGGGAATGTTCAACTCTGTGACTTGAATGCACACATCACAAGGATGTTTCTGAGGATGCTGCTGTCTAATTTTTATACGTAATCCCGTTTCCAACGAAATCCTCCAAGCTATCCAAATATCCACTTGCAGATTCCACAGAAAGACTGTTTCAAAACTGCTCTGTCAATAGAAAGGTTCAACTTTGTGAGCTGCGTGCATATATCCCAAAGAAGATTCTGAGATTGCTTCTGTCTAGTTTTTATGGGAAGATATTTCCCTTTTCACCGTAGGTGTCAAGGCGCTCCAAATGTCCACTTCCAGATACTACAAAAAGAGTGTTTCAAACCTACTCTGTGAAAGGGAATATTCAACTCTGTGACTTGAATGCACATATCACAAAGAAGTTTCTGAGAATGCTTCTGTCGAGATTTTATATGAAGATATTCCCGTTTCCAACGAAATCCTGAAATCTATCCAAATATCCCCTCGCAGATTCTACAAAAAGAATGTTTCAAAACTGCTCTGTAAAAAGAAAGGTTCAACTCTGTTAGTTGAGTACACACATCACAAACAAGTTTCACAGAATGCTTCTTTCTAGCTTGTAGGGGAAGATATTCCCTTTATCACCATGGGCCTCCAACCGTCCGATAAGTCCACTTCCATATACTACAAAAAGAGCGTTTCAAACCTGCTCTATGAAAGGCAATGTTCAACTCTGTGACTTGAATGCAGACATCACAGAGCAGTTTCTGAGAATGCTTTTGTCTAGGTTTTATAGGAAGATATTCCCTTTTCCAACGAAATCTTCCAAGCTATCCAAATATCCACTTGCAGATTCTACAAAAAGAGTGTATCAAAACTGCTCTGTCAAAAGGAAGGTTCTCCTCTGTTAGTTGAGTACATACGTCATAAAGGAGTTTCTGAGAATGTTTCTGTCTAGTGGTTATGGGAAGATATTTGCTTTTTCACCCGTAGGTCTCAGAGCGCTCCAAATATCCACTTGCACATACTACAAAAAGAGTGCTTCAAAGCTGCTCTCTGAAACGGAATGTTCAACTCTATGACTTGAATGCAAACATCACAAAGACGTTTCTGAGAAT
Organism: Homo sapiens; assembly: GCF_000001405.40. Classification (NCBI taxonomy): domain Eukaryota; kingdom Metazoa; phylum Chordata; class Mammalia; order Primates; family Hominidae; genus Homo; species Homo sapiens. The sequence goes on along the minus strand of NC_000021.9, from coordinate 12,253,670 downwards.
GCTTCTGTCTAGATTTGATATGAAGATATTCCCGTTTCCAACGAAATCTTCAAATCTATCCAAATGTCCACTTGCAGATTCAACAAAAAGTGTTTTTCAGAACTGCTCTATCAAAAGAAAGATTCACCTCTGTTAGCTGAGTTCACACATCACAAACAAGTTTATGAGAATGCTTCTGTCTAGTTTTTATTTGAAGATATTTCCTTTCTCACCATAGAGCTGAAAGCTGTCCTAATGTTCACTTCCAGATACGACAGAAAGAGTGTTTCAAAACTGCTGTACGAAAGGGAATGTTCAAATCTGTGACTTGAATGCACACATCACAAAGAAGTTTCTGAGGATGCTGCTGTCTACTTTTTATACGTAATCCCGTTTCCAACGAAATCCTCCAAGCTATCCAAATATCCACTTGCAGATTCCACAGAAAGACTGTTTCAAAACTGCTCTGTCAATAGAAAGGTTCAACTCTGTTAGCTGCGTGCATATATCCCAAAGAAGATTCTGAGATTCCTTCTGTCTAGTTTTTATGGGAAGATATTTTCCTTTTCACCGTAGGCGTCACGGCGCTCCAAATGTCCACTTCCAGATACTACAAAAAGAGTGTTTCAAACCTACTCTGTGAAAGGGAATATTCAACTCTGTGACTTGAATGCAGATATCACAAAGAAGTTTCTGAGAATGCTTCTGTCGAGATTTTATATTAAGATATTCCCGTTTCCAACGAAATCCTGAAATCTATCCAAATATCCCCTCGCAGATTCTACAAAAAGAGTGTTTCAAAACTGCTCTGTAAAAAGAAAGGTTCAACTCTGTTAGTTGAGTACACACATCACAAACAAGTTTCACAGAATGCTTCTTTCTAGCTTGTAGGGGAAGATATTCCCTTTATCACCATGGGCCTCAAACCGTCCGAAACGTCCACTTCCATATACTACAAAAAGAGCGTTTCAAATTTGCTCTAGGAAAGGCAATGTTCAACTCTGTGACTTGAATGCAGACATCACAGAGCAGTTCCTGAGAATGTTATTGTCTAGATTTTATAGGAAGATATTCCCGTTTCCAACGAAATCTTCACAGCTATCCAAATATCCACTTGCAGATTCTACAAAAAGAGTGTATCAAAACTGCTCTGTCAAAAGGAAGGTTCTTCTCTGTTAGGTGAGTGCATACGTCATAAAGGAGTTTCTGAGAATGTTTCTGTCTAGTGGTTATGGGAAGATATTTGCTTTTTCACCGTAGGCCTCAGAGCGCTCCAAATATCCACTTGCACATACTACAAAAAGAGTGCTTCAAAGCTGCTCTCTGAAACGGAATGTTCAACTCTCTGAGTTGAATGCAAACATCACAAAGACGTTTCCGAGAATGCTTCTGTCTAGATTTGATATGAAGATATTCCCGTTTCCAACGACATCTTCAAATCTATCCAAATGTCCCCTTGCAGATTCAACAAAACGTGTTTTTCAGAACTGCTCTATCAAAAGAAAGATCCACCTCTGTTAGCTGAGTTCACACATCACAAACAAGTTTATGAGAATGCTTCTGTCTAGTTTTTATTTGAAGATATCTCCTTTCTCACCATAGACCTGAAAGCTGTCCTAATGTACACTTCCAGATACTACAGAAAGAGTGTTTCAAAACTGCTGTACGAAAGGGAATGTTCAACTCTGTGACTTGAATGCACACATCACAAAGAAGTTTCTGAGGATGCTGTGGTCTACTTTATATACGTAATCCCGTTTCCAACGAAATCCTCCAAGCTATCCAAATATCCACTTGCAGATTCCACAGAAAGACTGTTTCAAAACTGCTCTGTCAATAGAAAGGTTCAACTCTGTTAGCTGCGTGCATATATCCCAAAGAAGATTGCTGAGATTGCTTCTGTCTAGTTTTTATGGGAAGATATTTCCCTTTTCACCGTGGGCGTCAAGGCGCTCCAAATGTGCACTTCCAGATACTACAAAAAGAGTGTTTCAAACCTACTCTGTGAAAGGGAATATTCAACTCTGTGACTTGAATGCACATATCACAAGGAAGTTTCTGAGAATGCTTCTGTCGAGATTTTATATGAAGATATTCCCGTTTCCAACGAAATGCTGAAATGTATCCAAATATCCCCTCGCAGATTCTACAAAAAGAGTGTTTCAAAACTGCTCTGTAAAAAGAAAGGTTCAACTCTGTTAGTTGAGTACACACATCACAAACAAGTTTCACAGAATGCTTCTTTCTAGCTTGTAGGGGAAGATATTCCCTTTATCACCATGGGCCTCCAACCGTCCGAAACATCCACTTACATATACTACAAAAAGAGCGTTTCAAACCTGCTCTATGAAAGGCAATGTTCAACTCTGTGACTTGAATGCAGACATCACAGAGCAGTTTCTGAGAATGCTTCTGTCTGGCATTTTATAGGAAGATATTCCCGTTTCCAACGAAATCTTCACAGCTATCCAAATATCCACTTGCAGATTCTACAAAAAGAGTGTATCAAAACTGCTCTGTCAAAAGGAAGGTTCTTCTCTGTTAGTTGAGTACATACGTCATAAAGGAGTTTCTGAGAATGTTTCTGTCTAGTGGTTATGGGAAGATATTTGCTTTTTCACCTTAGGCCTCAAAGCGCTCAAAATATCCCCTTGCACATACTACAAAAAGAGTGCTTCAAAGCTGCTCTCTGAAACGGAATGTTCAACTCTATGGGTTGAATGCAAACATCACAAAGACCTTTCTGAGAATGCTTCTGTCTAGATTTGATATGAAGATATTCCCGTTTCGAACGAAATCTTCAAATCTATCCAAATGTCCACTTGCAGATTCAACAAAAAGTGTTTTTCAGAACTGCTCTATCAAAAGAAAGATCCACCTCTGTTTGCTGAGTTCACACATCACAAACAAGTTTATGAGAATGCTTCTGTCTAGTTTTTATTTGAAGATATTTCCTTTCTCATCATAGACCTGAAAGCTGTCCTATTGTTCACTTCAGATACTACAGAAAGAGTGTTTCAAAACTGCTGTACGAAAGGGAATGTTCAACTCTGTGACTTGAATGCACACATCACAAAGAAGTTTCTGAGGATGCTGCTGTCTACTTTTTATACGTAATCCCGTTTCCAACGAAATCCTCCAAGCTATCCAAATATCCACTTGCAGATTCCACAGAAAGACTGTTTCAAAACTGCTGTGTCAATAGAAAGGTTCAACTCTGTTAGCTGCGTGCATATATCCCAAAGAAGATTCTGAGATTGCTTCTGTCTAGTTTTTATGGGAAGATATTTCCCTTTTCACCGTAGGCGTCAAGGCGCTCCAAATGTCCACTTCCAGATACTACAAAAAGAGTGTTTCAAACCTACTCTGTGAAAGGGAATATTCAAGTCTGTGACTTGAATGCACATATCACAAGGAAGTTTCTGAGAATGTTTCTGTCGAGATTTTATATGAAGATATTCCCGTTTCCAACGAAATTCTGAAATGTATCCAAATATCCCCTCGCAGATTCTACAAAAAGAGTGTTTCAAAACTGCTCTGTAAAAAGAAAGGTTCAACTCTGTTAGTTGAGTACACACATCACAAACAAGTTTCACAGAATGCTTCTTTCTAGCTTGTAGGGGAAGATATTCCCTTTATCACCATGGGCCTCAAAGCGTCCGAAACGTCCACTTCCATATACTACAAAAAGAGCGTTTCAAACCTGCTCTAGGAAAGGCAATGTTCAACTCTGTGACTTGAATGCAGACATCACAGAGCAGTTTCTGAGAATGCTTCTGTCTAGATTTTATAGGAAGATATTCCCGTTTCCAACGAAATCTTCACAGCTATCCAAATATGCACTTGCAGATTCTACAAAAAGAGTGTATCAAAACTGCTCTGTCAAAAGGAAGGTTCTTCTCTGTTAGTTGAGTACATACGTCATAAAGCAGTTTCTGAGAATGTTTCTGTCTAGTGGTTATGGGAAGATATTTGCTTTTTCCCCGTAGGCCTCAGAGCGCTCCAAATATCCACTTGCACATACTACAAAAAGAGTGCTTCAAAGCTGCTCTCTGAAACGGAATGTTCAACTCTATGAGTTGAATGCAAACATCACAAAGACGTTTCTGAGAATGCTTCTGTCTAGATTTGATATGAAGATATTCCCGTTTCCAAGGAAATCTTCAAATCTATCCAAATGTCCACTTGCAGATTCTACAAAAATTGTTTTTCAGAACTGCTCTATCAAAAGAAAGATCCACGTGTGTTAGCTGAGTTCACACATCACAAACAAGTTTATGAGAATGCTTCTGTCTCGTTTTTATTTGAAGATATTTCCTTTCTCACCATAGACCTGAAAGCTGTCATAATGTTCACTTCCAGATACTACAGAAAGAGTGTTTCAAAACTGCTGTACGAAAAGGAATGTTCAACTCTGTGACTTGAATGCACACATCACAAAGAAGTTTCTGAGGATGCTGCTGTCTACTTTGTATACATAATCCCGTTTCCAAAGAAATCCTCCAAGCTATCAAAATATCCACTTGCAGATTCCACTAAAAGACTGTTTCAAAACTGCTCTGTCAATAGAAAGTTTCAACTCTGTTAGCTGGGTGCATACATCCCAAAGAAGATTCTGAGATTGCTTCTGTCTAGTATTTATGGGAAGATATTTCATATTTCCTTTTTCACCGTAGGCGTCAAGGCGCTCCAAATGTCCACTTCCAAATACTACAAAAAGAGTGTTTCAAACCTACTCTGTGAAAGGGAATATTCAACTCTGTGACTTGAGTGCAGGTATCACAAAGAGGTTTCTCAGAATGCTTCTGTCGAGATTTTATATGAAGATATTCCCCTTTCCAACGAAATCCTGAAATCTATCCAAATATCCCCTCGCAGATTCTACAAAAAGAGTGTTTCAAAACTGCTCTGTAAAAAGAAAAGTTCAACTCTGTTAGTTGAGTACACACCTCACAATACAAGTTTCACAGAATGCTTCTTTCTAGCTTGCAGGGGAAGATATTCCCTTTATCACCATGGGCCTCAAACCGTCCGAAAAGTCCACTTCCATATACTACAAAAAGAGCGTTTCAAACCTGCTCTATGAAAGGCAATGTTCAACTCTGTGACTTGAATGCAGACATCACAGAGCAGTTTCTGAGAATGCTTCTGTCTAGATTTTATAGGAAGATATTCCCGTTTCCAACGAAATCTTCACAGCTATCCAAATATCCACTTGCAGATGCTACAAAAAGAGTGTATCAAAACTGCTCTGTCAAAAGCAAGGTTCTTCTCTGTTAGGTGAGTGCATACGTCATAAAGGAGTTTCTGAGAATGTTTCTGTCTAGTGGTTATGGGAAGATATTTGCTTTTTCCCCGTAGGCCTCAGGGCGCTCCAAATGTCCACTTGCACATGCTACAAAAAGAGTGCTTCAAAGCTGCTCTCTGAAAGGGAATGTTCAACTCTATGAGTTGAATGCAAACATCACAAAGACGTTTCTGAGAATGCTTCTGTCTAGATTTGATATGAAGATATTCCCGTTTCCAACGAAATCTTCAAATCTATCCAAATCTCCACTTGCAGATTCAACAAAAAGTGTTTTTCAGAACTGCTCTATCAAAAGAAAGATCCACCTCTGTTAGCTGAGTTCACACATCACAAACAAGTTTATGAGAATGCTTCTGTCTAGTTTTTATTTGAAGATATTGCCTTTCTCACCATAGACCTGAAAGCTGTACTAATGTTCACTTCCAGATACTACAGAAAGAGTGTTTCAAAACTGCTGTACGAAAGGGAATGTTCAACTCTGTGACTTGAATGCACACATCACAAAGAAGTTTCTGAGGAGGCTGCTGTCTACTTTTTATACGTAATCCCGTTTCCAACGAAATCCTCCAAGCTATCCAAATATCCACTTGCAGATTCCACAGAAAGACTGTTTCAAAACTGCTCTGTTAATAGAAAGGTTCAACTCTGTTAGCTGCGTGCATATATCCCAAAGAAGATTCTGAGATTGCTTCTGTCTAGTTTTTATGGGAAGATATTTCCCTTTTCACCGTAGGCGTCAAGGCGCTCCAAATGTCCACTTCCAGATACTACAAAAAGAGTGTTTCAAACCTACTCTGTGAAAGGGAATATTCAACTCTGTGACTTGAATGCACATGTCACAAAGAAGTTTCTGAGAATGCTTCTGTCGAGATTTTATAGGAAGATATTCCCGTTTCCAACGAAATCCTGAAATCTATCAAAATATCCCCTCGCAGATTCTACAAAAAGAGTGTTTCAAAACTGCTCTGTAAAAAGAAAGGTTCAACTCTGTTAGTTGAGTACACACATCACAAACAAGTTTCACAGAATGCTTCTTTCTAGCTTGTAGGGGAAGATATTCCCTTTATCACCATGGGCCTCAAACCGTCCGAATCGTCCACTTCCATATACTACAAAAAGAGCGTTTCAAACCTGCTCTAGGAAAGGCAATGTTCAACTCTGTGACTTGAATGCAGACATCACAGAGCAGTTTCTGAGAATGCTTCTGTCTAGATTTTATAGGAAGATATTCCCGTTTCCAACGAAATCTTCACAGCTACCCAAATATCCACTTGCAGATTCTACAAAAAGAGTGTATCAAAACTGCTCTGTCAAAAGGAAGGTTCTTTTCTGTTAGTTGAGTGCATACGTCATAAAGGAGTTTCTGAGAATGTTTCTGTCTAGTGGTTATGGGAAGATATTTGCATTTTCACCGTAGGCCTCAGAGCGCTCCAAATATCCACTTGCACATACTACAAAAAGAGTGCCTCAAAGCTGCTCTCTGAAAGGGAATGTTCAACTCTATGAGTTGAATGCAAACATCACAAAGACGTTTCTGAGAATGCTTCTGTCTAGATTTGATATGAAGATGTTCCCGTTTCCAACGAAATCTTCAAATCTATCCAAATGTCCACTTGCAGATTCAACAAAAAGTGTTTTTCAGAACTGCTCTATCAAAAGAAAGATCCACCTCTGTTAGCTGAGTTCACACATCACAAACAAGTTTATGAGAATGCTTCTGTCTAGTTTTTATTTGAAGATATTTCGTTTCTCACCATAGAGCTGAAAGCTGTCCTAATGTTCACTTCCAGATACTACAGAGTGTTTCAAAACTGCTGTACGAAAGGGAATGTTCAACTCTGTGAATTGAATGCACACATCACAAGGAAGTTTCTGAGGATGCTGCTGTGTACTTTTTATACGTAATCCCGTTTCCAACGAAATCCTCCAATCTATCCAAATATCCACTTGCAGATTCCACAGAAAGACTGTTTCAAATCTGCTCAGTCAATAGAAAGGTTCAACTCTGTTAGCTGCGTGCATATATCACAAAGAAGATTGCTGAGATTGCTTCTGTCTAGTTTTGATGGGAAGATATTTCCCTTTTCACCGTAGGCGTCAAGGCGCTCCAAATGTCCACTTCCAGATACTACAAAAAGAGTGTTTCAAACCTACTCTGTGAAAGGGAATATTCAACTCTGTGACTTGAATGCACATATCACAAAGAAGTTTCTGAGAATGCTTCTGTCGAGATTTTATATGAAGATATTCCCGTTTCCAACGAAATTCTGAAATCTATCCAAATATCCCCTCGCAGATTCTACAAAAAGAGTGTTTCAAAACTGCTCTGTAAAAAGAAAAGTTCAACTCTGTTAGTTGAGTACACACATCACAAACAAGTTTCACAGAATGCTTCTTTCTAGCTTGTAGGGGAAGATATTCCCTTTATCACCATGGGCCTCAAACTGTCTGAAACGTCCACTTCCATATACTACAAAAAGAGCATTTCAAACCTGCTCTATGAAAGGCAATGTTCAACTCTGTGACTTGAATGCAGACATCACAGAGCAGTTTCTGAGAATGCTTCTGTCTAGATTTTATAGGAAGATATTCCCGTTTCCAACGAAATCTTCACAGCTATACAAATATCCACTTGCAGATTCTACAAAAAGAGTGTATCAAAACTGCTCTGTCAAAAGGAAGGTTCTTCTCTGTTAGTTGAGTACATACGTCATAAAGGAGTTTCTGAGAATGTTTCTGTCTAGTGGTTATGGGAAGATATTTGCTTTTTCACCGTAGGCCTCAGAGCGCTCCAAATATCCACTTGCACATACTACAAAAAGAGTGCTTCAAAGCTGCTCTCTGAAAGGGAATGTTCCACTCTATGAGTTGAATGCAAACATCACAAAGACGTTTCTGAGAATGCTTCTGTCTAGATTTGATATTGAAGATATTCCCGTTTCCAACGAAATCTTCAAATCTATCCAAATGTCCACTTGCAGATTCAACAAAAAGTGTTTTTCAGAACTGCTCTATCAAAAGAAAGATCCACCTCTGTTAGCTGAGTTCACACATCACAAACAAGTTTATGAGAATGCTTCTGTCTAGTTTTTATTTGAAGATATTTCCTTTCTCACCATAGAGCTGAAAGCTGTCCTAATGTTCACTTCCAGATACTACAGAAAGAGTGTTTCAAAACTGCTGTACGAAAGGGAATGTTCAACTCTGTGACTTGAATGCACACATCACAAAGAAGTTTCTGAGGATGTTGCTGTCTACTTTTTATACGTAATCCCGTTTCCAACGAAATCCTCCAAGGTATCCAAATATCCACTTGCAGATTCCACAGAAAGACTGTTTCAAAACTGCTCTGTCAATGGAAAGGTTCAACTCTGTTAGCTGCGTGCATATATCCCAAAGAAGATTCTGAGATTGCTTCTGTCTAGTTTTTATGGGAAGATATTTCCCTTTTCACCGTAGGCGTCAAGGCGCTCCAAATGTCCACTTCCAGATACTACAAAAGGAGTGTTTCAAACCTACTCTGTGAAAGTGAATATTCAACTCTGTGACTTGAATGCACATATCACAAAGAAGTTTCTGAGAATGCTTCTGTCGAGATTTTCTATAAAGATATTCCCGTTTCCAACGAAATCCTGAAATCTATCCAAATATCCCCTCGCAGATTCTACAAAAAGAGTGTTTCAAAACTGCTCTGTAAAAAGAAAGGTTCAACTCTGTTACTTCAGTACACACATCACAAACAAGTTTCACAGAATGCTTCTTTCTAGCTTGTAGGGGAAGATATTCCCTTTATCACCATGGGCCTCAAACCGTCCGAAACGTCCACTTCCATATACTACAAAAAGAGCGTTTCAAACCTGCTCTAGGAAAGGCAATGTTCAACTGCTGTGACTTGAATGCAGACATCACAGAGCAGTTTCTGAGAATGCTTCTGTCTAGATTTTGTAGGAAGATATTCCCGTTTCCAACGAAATCTTCACAGCTATCCAAATATCCACTTGCAGATTCCACAAAAAGAGTGTATCAAAACTGCTCTGTCAAAAGGAAGGTTCTTTTCTGTTAGGTGAGTGCATACGTCATAAAGGAGTTTCTGAGAATGTTTCTGTCTAGTGGTTATGGGAAGATATTTGATTTTTCACCTTAGGCCTCAGAGCGCTCCAAATATCCCCTTGCACATACTACAAAAAGAGTGCTTCAAAGCTGCTCTCTGAAAGGGAATGTTCAACTCTATGGGTTGAATGCAAACATCACAAAGACATTTCTGAGAATGCTTCTGTCTAGATTTGAAATGAAGTTATTCCCGTTTCCAACGAAATCTTCAAATCTATCCAAATGTCCACTTGCAGATTCAACAAAAAGTGTTTTTCAGAACTGCTCTATCAAAAGAAAGATCCACGTCTCTTAGCTGAGTTCACACATCACAAAGAAGTTTATGAGAATGCTTCTGTCTAGTTTTTATTTGAAGATATTTCCTTTCTCACCATAGACCTGAAAGCTGTCCTAATGTTCACTTCCAGATACTACAGAAAGAGTGTTTCAACACTGCTGTACGAAAGGGAATGTTCAACTCTGTGACTTGAATGCACACATCACAAAGAAGATTCTGAGGATGCTGCTGTCTACTTTTTATACTTAATCCCGTTTCCAACGAAATCCTCCAAGCTATCCAAATATCCACTTGCAGATTCCACAGAAAGACTGTTTCAAAACTGCTCTGTCAATAGAAAGGTTCAACTCTGTTAGCTGCGTGCATATATCCCAAAGAAGATTCTGAGATTACTTCTGTCTAGTTTTTATGGGAAGATATTTCCCTTTTCACCGTAGGCGTCAAGGCGCTCCAAATGTCCACTTCCAGATACTACAAAAAGAGTGTTTCAAACCTACTCTGTGAAAGGGAATATTCAACTCTGTGACTTGAATGCACATATTACAAAGAAGTTTCTGAGAATGCTTCTGTCGAGATTTTATATGAAGATATTCCCGTTTCCAACGAAATCCTGAAATCTATCCAAATATCCCCTCGCAGATTCTACAAAAAGAGTGTTTCAAAACTGCTCTGTAAAAAGAAAGGTTCAACTCTCTTAGTTGAGTACACACATCACAAACAAGTTTCACACAATGCTTCTTTCTAGCTTGTAGGGGAAGATATTCCCTTTATCACCATGGGCCTCAAACCGTCCGAAAAGTCCACTTCCATATACTACAAAAAGAGCGTTTCAAACCTGCTCTATGAAAGGCAATGTTCAACTCTGTGACTTGAATGCAGACATCACAGAGCAGTTTCTGAGAATGCTTCTGTCTAGATTTTATAGGAAGATATTCCAGTTTCCAACGAAATCTTCACAGCTATCCAAATATCCACTTGCAGATTCTACAAAAAGAGTGTATCAAAACTGCTCTGTCAAAAGGAAGGTTCTTCTCTGTTAGGTGAGTGCATACGTCATAAAGGAGTTTCTGAGAATGTTTCTGTCTAGTGGTTATGGGAAGATATTTGCTTTTTCCCCGTATGCCTCAGGGCCCTCCAAATGTCCACTTGCACATGCTACAAAAAGAGTGCTTCAAAGCTGCTCTCTGAAAGGGAATGTTCAACTCTATGAGTTGAATGCAAACATCACAAAGACGTTTCTGAGAATGCTTCTGTCTAGATTTGATATGAAGATATTCCCGTTTCCAACGAAATCTTCAAATCTATCCAAATGTCCACTTGCAGATTCAACAAAAAATGTTTTTCAGAACTGCTCTATCAAAAGAAAGATCCACCTCTGTTAGCTGAGTTCACACATCACAAACAAGTTAATGAGAATGCTTCTGTCTAGTTTTTATTTGAAGATATATCCTTTCTCACTATAGACCTGAAAGCTCTCCTAAAGTTCACTTCCAGATACTACAGAAAGAGTGTTTCAAAACTGCTGTACGAACGGGAATGTTCAACTCTGTGACTGGAATGCACACATCACAAGGATGTTTCTGAGGATGCTGCTGTCTACTTTTTATACGTAATCCCGTTTCCAACGAAATCCTCCAAGCTATCCAAATATCCACTTGCAGATTCCACAGAAAGACTGTTTCAAAACTGCTCTGTCAATAGAAAGGTTCAACTCTATTAGCTGCGTACATATATCCCAAAGAAGATTCTGAGATTGCTTCTGTCTAGTTTTTATGGGAAGATATTTCCCTTTTCACCGTAGGTGTCAAGGCGCTCCAAATGTCCACTTCCAGATACTACAAAAAGAGTGTTTCAAACCTACTCGGTGAAAGGGAATATTCAACTCTGTGACTTGAATGCACATATCACAAAGAAGTTTCTGAGAATGCTTCTGTCGAGAATTTTATATTAAGATATTCCCGTTTCCAACAAAATCCTGAAATCTATCCAAATATCCCCTCGCAGATTCTACAAGAAGAGTGTTTCAAAACTGCTCTGTAAAAAGAAAGGTTCAACTCTGTTAGTTGAGTACACACATCACAAACAAGTTTCACAGAATGCTTCTTTCTAGCTTGTAGGGGATGATATTCCCTTCATCACCATGGGCCTCAAAACGTCCGAAACGTCCACTTCCATATACTACAAAAAGAGCGTTTCAAACCTGCTCTAGGAAAGGCAATGTTCAACTCTGTGACTTGAATGCAGACATCACAGAGCAGTTCCTGAGAATGCTTCTGTGTAGATTTTATAGGAAGATATTCCCGTTTCCAACGAAATCTTCACAGCTATCCAAATATCCACTTGCAGATTCTACAAAAAGAGTGTATCAAAACTGCTCTGTCAAAAGGAAGGTTCTTCTCTGTTAGGTGAGTGCATACGTCATAAAGGAGTTTCTGAGAATGTTTCTGTCTAGTGGTTATGGGAAGATATTTGCTTTTTCACCGTAGGCCTCAGAGCGCTCCAAATATCCACTTGCACATACTACAAAAAGAGTGCCTCAAAGCTGCTCTCTGAAACGGAATGTTCAACTCTATGAGTTGAATGCAAACATCACAGAGACGTTTCTGAGAATGCTTCTGTCTAGCATTTGATATGAAGATATTCCCGTTTCCAACGAAATCTTCAAATCTATCCAAATGTCCACTTGCAGATTCAACAAAAAGTGTTTTTCAGAACTGCTCTATCAAAAGAAAGATCCACCTCTGTTAGCTGAGTTCACACATCACAAACAAGTTTATGAGAATGCTTCTGTCTAGTTTTTATTTGAAGATATTTCCTTTCTCACCATAGACCTGAAAGCTGTCCTAATGTTCACTTCCAGATACTACAGAAAGAGTGTTTCAAAACTGCTGTACGAAAGGGAATGTTCAACTTTGTGACTTGAATGCCCACATCACAAAGATGTTTCTGAGGATGCTGCTGTCTTCTTTTTATACGTAATCCCGTTTCCAACGAAATCCTCCAAGCTATCCAAATATCCACTTGCAGATTCCACAGAAAGACTGTTTCAAAACTGCTCTGTCAATAGAAAGGTTCAACTCTGTTAGCTGCGTGCATATATCCCAAAGAAGATTCTGAGATTGCTTCTGTCTACTTTTTATGAGAAGATATTTCCCTTTTCACCGTAGGCGTCAAGGCGCTCCAAATGTCCACTTCCAGATACTACAAAAAGAGTGTTTCAAACCTACTCTGTGAAAGGGAATATTCAACTCTGTGACTTGAATGCACATATCACAAAGAAGCTTCTGAGAATGCTTCTGTCGAGATTTTATATGAAGATAATCCCCTTTCCAACGAAATCCTGAAATCTATCCAAATATCCCCTCGCAGATTCTACAAAAAGAGTGTTTCAAAACTGCTCTGTAAAAAGAAAGGTTCAACTCTGTTAGTTGAGTACACACATCACAAACAAGTTTCACAGAATGCTTCTTTCTAGCTTGTAGGGGAAGATATTCCCTTTATCACCATGGGCCTCAAACCGTCCGAAACGTCCACTTCCATATAGTACAAAAAGAACGCTTCAAACCTGCTCTATGAAAGACAATGTTCAACTCTGTGACTTGAATGCAGACATCACAGAGCAGTTTCTGAGAATGCTTCTGTCTAGATTTTATAGGAAGATATTCCCGTTTCCAACGAAATCTTCACAGCTATCCAAATATCCACTTGCAGATTCTACAAAAAGAGTGTATCAAAACTGCTCTGTCAAAAGGAAGGTTCTTCTCTTTTAGGTGAGTGCATACGTCATAAAGGAGTTTCTGAGAATGTTTCTGTCTAGTGGTTATGGGAAGATATTTGCTTTTTCACCGAAGGCCTCAGAGCGCTCCAAATATCCACTTGCACATACTACAAAAAGAGTGCCTCAAAGCTGCTCTCTGAAACGGAATGTTCAACTCTATGAGTTGAATGCAAACATCGCAAAGACGTTTCTGAGAATGCTTCTGTCTAGATTTGATATGAAGATATTCCCGTTTCCAACGAAATCTTCAAATCTATCCAAATGTCCACTTGCAGATTCAACAAAGTGTTTTTCAGAATTGCTCTATCAAAGGAAAGATCCACCTCTGTTAGCTGAGTTCACACTTCACAAACAAGTTTATCAGAATGCTTCTGTCCAGTTTTTATTTGAAGATATTTCCTTTCTCACCATAGACCTGAAAGCTGTCCTAATGTTCACTTCCAGATACTACAGAAAGAGTGTTTCAAAACTGCTGTACGAAAGGGAATGTTCAACTCTGTGACTTGAATGCACACATCACAAAGAAGTTTCTGAGGATGCTGCTGGCTACTTTTTATACGTAATCCCGTTTCCAACGAAATCCTCCAAGCTATCCAAATATCCACTTGCAGATTCCACAGAAAGACTGTTTCAAAACTGCTCTGTCAATAGAAAGGTTCAACTCTGTTAGCTGCGTGCATATATCCCAAAGAAGATTCTGAGATTGCTTCTGTCTAGTTTTTATGGGAAGATATTTCCCTTTTCACCGTAGGTGTCAAGGCGCTCCAAATGTCCACTTACAGATACTACAAAAAGAGTGTTTCAAACCTACTCTGTGAAAGGGAATATTCAACTGTGTGACTTGAATGCAGATATCACAATGAAGTTTCTGAGAATGCTTCTGTCGACATTTTATATGAAGATATTCCCGTTTCCAAGGAAATCCTGAAATGTATCCAAATATCCCCTCGCAGATTCTACAAAAAGAGTGTTTCAAAACTGCTCTGTAAAAAGAAAGGTTCAACTCTGTTAGTTGAGTACACACATCACAAACAAGTTTCACACAATGCTTCTTTCTAGCTTGTAGGGGAAGATATTCCCTTTATCACCATGGGCCTCAAACCGACCGAAACTTCCACTTCCATATACTACAAAAAGAGCGTTTCAAACCTGCTCTATGAAAGGCAATGTTCAACTCTGTGACTTGAATGCAGACATCACAGAGCAGTTTCTGAGAATGCTTCTGTCTAGATTTTATAGGAAGATATTCCCGTTTCCAACGAAATCTTCACAGCTATCCAAATATCCACTTGCAGATTCTACAAAAAGAGTGTATCAAAACTGCTCTGTCAAAAGGAAGGTTCTTCTACTGTTAGGTGAGTGCATACGTCATAAAGGAGTTTCTGAGAATGTTTCTGTCTAGTGGTTATGGGAAGATATTTGCTTTTTCACCGTAGGCCTCAGAGCGCTCCAAATATCCACTTGCACATACTACAAAAAGAGTGCTTCAAAGCTGCTCTCTGAAAGGGAATGTTCAACTCTATGAGTTGAATGCAAACATCACAAAGACGTTTCTGAGAATGCTTCTGTCTAGATTTGATATGAAGATATTCCCGTTTCCAACGAAATCTTCAAATCTATCCAAAGGTCCACTTGCAGATTCAACAAAAAGTGTTTTTCAGAACTGCTCTATCAAAAGAAAGATCCACCTCTGTTAGCTGAGTTCACACATCACAAACAAGTTTATGAGAATGCTTCTGTGTAGTTTTTATTTGAAGATATTTCCTTTCTCACCATAGACCTGAATGCTGTCCTAATGTTCACTTCCAGATACTACAGAAAGAGTTTTTCAAAACTGCTGTACGAAAAGGAATATTCAACTCTGTGACTTGAATGCACACATCACAAAGAAGTTTCTGAGGATGCTGCTGTCTACTTTTTATACCTAATCCCGTTTCCAACGAAATCCTCCAAGCTATCCAAATATCCACTTGCAGATTCCACAGAAAGACTGTTTCAAAACTGCTCTGTCAATAGAAAGGTTCAACTCTGTTAGCTGCGTGCATATATCCCAAAGAAGATTCTGAGATTGTTTCTGTCTAGTTTTTATGGGAAGATATTTCCCTTTTCACCATAGGTGTCAAGGCGCTCAAAATGTCCACTTCCAGATACTACAAAAAGAGTGTTTCAAACCTACTCTGTGAAAGGGAATATTCAACTCTGTGACTTGAATGCAGACATCACAGAGCAGTTTCTGAGAATGCTTCTGTCGAGATTTTATATTAAGATATTCCCGTTTCCAACGAAATCCTGAAATCTATCCAAATATCCCCTCGCAGATTCTACAAAAAGAGTATTTCAAAACTGCTCTGTAAAAAGAAAGGTTCAACTCTGTTAGTTGAGTACACACATCACAAACAAGTTTCACAGAATGCTTCTTTCTAGCTTTGTAGGGGAAGATATTCCCTTTATCACCATGGGCCTCAAACCGTCCGAAAAGTCCACTTCCATATACTACAAAAAGAGCGTTTCAAACCTGCTCTATGAAAGGCAATGTTCAACTCTGTGACTTGAATGCAGACATCACAGAGCAGTTTCTGAGAATGCTTCTGTCTAGATTTTATAGGAAGATATTCCCGTTTCCAACGAAATCTTCACAGCTATCCAAATATCCACTTTCAGATTCTACAAAAAGAGTGTATCAAAAGTGCTCTGTCAAAAGGAAGGTTCTTCTCTGTTAGGTGAGTGCATACGTCATAAAGGAGTTTCTGAGAATGTTTCTGTCTAGTGGTTATGGGAAGATATTTGCTTTTTCCCCGTAGGCCTCAGAGCGCTCCAAATATCTACTTGCACATACTACAAAAAGAGTGCTTCAAAGCTACTCTCTGAAAGGGAATGTTCAACTCCATGAGTTTAATTGAAACATCACAAAGACGTTTCTGAGAATGCTTCTGTCTAGATTTGATATGAAGATATTCCCGTTTCCAACGAAATCTTCAAATCTATCCAAATGTCCTCTTGCAGATTCAACAAAAAGGGTTTTTCAGAACTGCTCTATCAAAAGAAAGATCCACGTGTGTTAGCTGAGTTCACACATCACGAACAAGTTTATGAGAATGCTTCTGTCTAGTTTTTATTTGAAGATATATCCTTTCTCACTATATACCTGAAAGCTCTCTTAAAGTTCACTTCCAGATACTACAGAAAGAGTGTTTCAAAACTGCTGTATGAAAGGGAATGTTCAACTCTGTGACTTGAATGCACACATCACAAAGAAGTTTCTGAGGATGCTGCTGTCTACTTTTTATACGTAATCCCGTTTCCAACGAAATCCTCCAAGCTATCCAAATATCCACTTGCAGATTCCACAGAAAGACTGTTTCAAAACTGCTCTGTCAATAGAAAGGTTCAACTCTATTAGCTGCGTACATATATCCCAAAGAAGATTCTGAAATTGCTTCTGTCTAGTTTTTATGGGAAGATATTTCCCTTTTCACCGTAGGCGTCAAGGCGCTCCAAATGTCCACTTCCAGATACTACAAAAAGAGTGTTTCAAACCTACTCTGTGAAAGGAAATATTCAACTCTGTGACTTGAATGCACATATCACAAGGAAGTTTCTGAGAATGCTTCTGTCGAGATTTTATATGAAGATATTCCCGTTTCCAACGAAATCCTGAAATCTATCCAAATATCCCCTCGCAGATTCTTCAAAAAGAGTGTTTCAATACTGCTCTGTAAAAAGAAAGGTTCAAGTCTGTTAGTTGAGTACACACATCACAAACAAGTTTCACAGAATGCTTCTTTCTAGCTTGTAGGGGAAGATATTCCCTTTATCACCATGGGCCTCAAACCGTCCGAAACGTCCACTTCCATATACTACAAAAAGAGTGTTTCAAACCTGCTCTATGAAAGGCAATGTTCAACTCTGTGACTTGAATGCAGACATCACAGAGCACTTTCTGAGAATGCTTCTGTCTAGATTTTATAGGAAGATATTCCCGTTTCCAACGAAATCTTCACAGCTATCCAAATATCCACTTGCAGATTCTACAAAAAGAGTGTATCAAAACTGCTCTGTCAAAAGGAAGGTTCTTCTCTGTTAGGTGTGTGCATACGTTTAAAGGAGTTTCTGAGAATGTTTCTGTCTAGTGGTTATGGGAAGATATTTGCTTTTTCCCCGTAGGCCTCAGGGCCCTCCAAATGTCCACTTGCACATGCTACAAAAAGAGTGCTTCAAAGCCGCTCTCTGAAAGGGAATGTTCAACTCTATGAGTTGAATGCAAACATCACAAAGACGTTTCTGAGAATGCTTCTGTCTAGATTTGATATGAAGATATTCCCGTTTCCAACGAAATCTTCAAATCTATCCAAATGTCCACTTGCAGATTCAACAAAAAGTGTTTTTCAGAACTGCTCTATCAAAAGAAAGATCCACCTCTGTTAGCTCAGTTCACACATCACAAACAAGTTTATGAGAATGCTTCTGTCTAGTTTTTATTTGAAGATATTTCCTTTCTCACCATAGACCTGAAAGCTGTCCTAATGTTCACTTCCAGATACTACAGAAAGAGTGTTTCAAAACTGCTGTACGAAAGGGAATGTTCAACTCTGTGACTTGAATGCACACATCACAAGGAAGTTTCTGAGGATGCTGCTGTGTACTTTTTATACGTAATCCCGTTTCCAACGAAATCCTCCAAGCTATCCAAATATCCACTTGCAGATTCCACAGAAAGACTGTTTCAAAACTGCTATGTCAATAGAAAGGTTCAACTCTGTTAGCTGCGTGCATATATCCCAAAGAAGATTCTGAGATTGCTTCTGTCTACTTTTTATGAGAAGATATTTCCCTTTTCACCGTAGGCGTCAAGGCGCTCCAAATGTCCACTTCCAGATACTACAAAAAGAGTGCTTCAAACCTACTCTGTGAAAGGGAATATTCAACTCTGTGACTTGAATGCACATATCACAAAGAAGCTTCTGAGAATGCTTCTGTCGAGATTTTATATGAAGATATTCCCGTTTCCAACGAAATCCTGAAATGTATCCAAATATCCCCTCGCAGATTCTACACAAAGAGTGTTTCAAAACTGCTCTGTAAAAACAAACGTTCAACTCTGTTAGTTGAGTACACACATCACAAACAAGTTTCACACAATGCTTCTTTCTAGCTTGTAGCGGAAGATATTCCCTTTATCACCATGGGCCTCCAACCGTCCGAAACATCCACTTCCATATACTACAAAAAGAGCGTTTCAAACCTGCTCTATGAAAGGCAATGTTCAACTCTGTGACTTGAATGCAGACATCACAGAGCAGTTTCTGAGAATGCTTCTGTCTAGATTTTATAGGAAGATATTCCCGTTTCCAACGAAATCTTCACAGCTATCCAAATATCCACTTGCAGATTCTACAAAAAGAGTGTATCAAAACTGCTCTGTCAAAAGAAAGGTTCTTCTCTGTTAGGTGAGTGCATACGTCATAAAGGAGTTTCTGAGAATGTTTCTGTCTAGTGGTTATGGGAAGATATTTGCTTTTTCACCGTAGGCCTCAGAGCGCTCCAAATATCCACTTGCACATACTACAAAAAGAGTGCCTCAAAGCTGTTCTCTGAAACGGAATGTTCAACTCTATGAGTTGAATGCAAACATCGCAAAGACGTTTCTGAGAATGCTTCTGTCTAGATTTGATATGAAGATATTCCCGTTTCCAAGGAAATCTTCAAATCTATCCAAATGTCCACTTGCAGATTCAACAAAAATTGTTTTTCAGAACTGCTCTATCAAAAGAAAGATCCACGTGTGTTAGCTGAGTTCACACATCACAAACAAGTTTATGAGAATGCTTCTGTCTAGTTTTTATTTGAAGATATTTCCTTTCTCACCATAGACCTGAAAGCTGTCCTAATGTTCACTTCCAGATACTGCAGAAAGAGTGTTTCAAAACTGTTGTACGAAAGGGAATGTTCAACTCTGTGACTTGAATGCACACATCACAAAGAAGTTTCTGAGGATGCTGCTGTCTACTTTTTATACGTAATCTCGTTTCCAAAGAAATCCTCCTAGCTATCCAAATATCCACTTGCAGATTCCACAGAAAGACTGTTTCAAAACTGCTCTGTCAATAGAAAGGTTCAACTCTGTTAGCTGCGTGCATATATCCCAAAGAAGATTCTGAGATTGCTTCTGTCTAGTTTTTATGGGAAGATATTTCCCTTTTCACCGTAGGCGTCAAGGCGCTCCAAATGTCCACTTCCAGATACTACAAAAAGAGTGTTTCAAACCTACTCTGTGAAAGGGAATATTCAACTCTGTGACTTGAATGCACATATCACAAAGAAGTTTCTGAGAATGCTTCTGTCGAGATTTTATATGAAGATATTCCCGTTTCCAACGAAATGCTGAAATCTATCCAAATATCCCCTCGCAGATTCTACAAAAAGAGTGTTTCAAAACTGCTCTTTAAAAAGAAAGGTTCAACTCTGTTAGTTGAGTACACACATCACAAACAAGTTTCACAGAATGCTTCTTTCTAGCTTGTAGGGGAAGATATTCCCTTTATCACCATGGGCCTCAAACCGTCCGATAAGTCCACTTCCATATACTACAAAAAGAGCGTTTCAAACCTGCTCTATGAAAGGCAATGTTCAACTCTGTGACTTGAATGCAGACATCACAGAGCAGTTTCTGAGAATGCTTCTGTCTAGATTTTATAGGAAGATATTCCCGTTTCCAACGAAATCTTCACAGCTATCCAAGTATCCACTTGCAGATTCTACAAAAAGAGTGTATCAAAACTGCTCTTTCAAAAGGAAGGTTCTTCTCTGTTAGGTGAGTGCATACGTCATAAAGGAGTTTCTGAGAATGTTTCTGTCTAGTGGTTATGGGAAGATATTTGCTTTTTCACCGTAGGCCTCAGAGGCGCTCCAAATATCCACTTGCACATACTACAAAAAGAGTGCCTCAAAGCTGCTCTCTGAAACGGAATGTTCAACTCTATGAGTTGAATGCAAACATCACAAAGACGTTTCTGAGAATGCTTCTGTCTAGATTTGATATGAAGGTATTCCCGTTTCCAAAGAAATCTTCAAATCTATCCAAATGTCCACTTGCAGATTCAACAAAAAGTGTTTTTCAGAACTGCTCTATCAAAAGAAAGATCCACCTCTGTTAGCTGAGTTAACACATCACAAACAAGTTTATGAGAATGCTTCTGTCTAGTTTTTATTTGAAGATATTTCCTTTCTCACCATAGACCTGAAAGCTGTCCTAAAGTTCACTTCCAGTTACTACAGAAAGAGTGTTTCAAAACTGCTGTACGAAAGGGAATGTTCAACTCTGTGACTTGAATGCACACATCACAAAGAAGTTTCTGAGGATGCTGCTGTCTACTTTTTATACTTAATCCCGTTTCCAACGAAATCCTCCAAGCTATCCAAATATCCACTTGCAGATTCCACAGAAAGACTGTTTCAAAACTGCTCTGCCAATAGAAAGGTTCAACTCTGTTAGCTGCGTGCATATATCCCAAAGAAGATTCTGAGATTGCTTCTGTCTAGTTTTTATGGGAAGATATTTCCCTTTTCACCGTAGGCGTCAAAGCGCTCCAAATGCCCACTTCCAGACACTACAAAAAGAGTGTTTCAAACCTACTCTGTGAAAGGGAATATTCAACTCTGTGACTTGAATGCAGATATCACAAAGAAGTTTCTGAGAATGCTTCTGTCGAGATTTTATATGAAGATATTCCCCTTTCCAACGAAATCCTGAAATCTATCCAAATATCCCCTCGCAGATTCTACAAAAAGAGTGTTTCAAAACTGCTCTGTAAAAAGAAAGGTTCAACTCTGTTAGTTGAGTACACACATCACAAACAAGTTTCACAGAATGCTTCTTTCTAGCTTGTAGGGGAAGATATTCCCTTTATCACCATGGGCCTCAAACCGTCCGAAACGTCCACTTCCATATGCTACAAAAAGAGTGTTTCAAACCTGCTCTATGAAAGGCAATGTTCAACTCTGTGAGTTGAATGCAGACATCACAGAGCAGTTTCTGAGAATGCTTCTGTCTAGATTTTATAGGAAGATATTCCCGTTTCCAACGAAATCTTCACAGCTATCCAAATATCCACTTGCAGATTCTGCAAAAAGAGTGTATCAAAACTGCTCTGTCAAAAGGAAGGTTCTTCTCTGTTAGTTGAGTACATACTTCATAAAGGAGTTTCTGAGAATGTTTCTGTCTAGTGGTTATGGGAAGATATTTGCTTTTTCACCGTAGGCCTCAGAGCGCTCCAAATATCCACTTGCACATACTACAAAAAGAGTGCTTCAAAGCTGGTCTCTGAAACGGAATGTTCAACTCTATGAGTTGAATGCAAACATCACAAAGACGTTTCTGAGAATGCTTCTTTCTAGATTTGATATGACGATATTCCCGTTTCCAACGAAATCTTCAAATCTATCCAAATGTCCACTTGCAGATTCAACAAAACGTGTTTTTCAGAACTGCTCTATCAAAAGAAAGATCCACCTCTGTTAGCTGAGTTCACACATCACAAACAAGTTTATGAGAATGCTTCTGTCTAGTTTTTATTTGAAGATATTTCCTTTCTCACCATAGACCTGAAAGCTGTCCTAATGTTCACTTCCAGATACTACAGAAAGAGTGTTTCATAACTGCTGTACGAAAGGGAATGTTCAACTCTGTGACTTGAATGCACACATCACAAAGAAGTTTCTGAGGATGCTGCTGTCTAATTTTTATACGTAATCCCGTTTCCAACGAAATCCTCCAAGCTATCCAAATATCCACTTGCAGATTCCACAGAAAGACTGTTTCAAAACTGCTCTGTCAATAGAAAGGTTCAACTCTGTTAGCAGCGTGCATATATCCCAAAGAAGATTCTGAGATTGCTTCTGTCTACTTTTTATGAGAAGATATTTCCCTTTTCACCGTAGGCGTCAAGGCGCTCCAAATGTCCACTTCCAGATACTACAAAAAGAGTGTTTCAAACCTACTCTGTGAAAGGGAATATTGAACTCTGTGACTTGAATGCACATATCACAAAGAAGCTTCTGAGAATGCTTCTGTCGAGATTTTATATGAAGATATTCCCGTTTCCAAAGAAATCCTGAAATCTATCCAAATATCCCCTCGCAGATTCTACAAAAATAGTGTTTCAAAACTGCTCTGTAAAAAGAAAGGTTCAACTCTGTTAGTTGAGTACACACATCACAAACAAGTTTCACAGAATGCTTCTTTCTAGCTTGTAGGGGAAGATATTCCCTTTATCACCATGGGCCTCCAACCGTCCGAAACATCCACTTCCATATACTACACAAAGAGCGTTTCAAACCTGCTCTATGAAAGGCAATGTTCAACTCTGTGACTTGAATACAGACATCACAGAGCAGTTTCTGAGAATGCTTCTGTCTAGATTTTATAGGAAGATATTCCCTGTTTCCAACGAAATCTTCACAGCTATCCAAATATCCACTTGCAGATTCTACAAAAAGAGTGTATCAAAACTGCTCTGTCAAAAGGAAGGTTCTTCTCTGTTAGGTGAGTGCATACATCATAAAGGAGTTTCTGAGAATGTTTCTGTCTAGTGGTTACGGGAAGATATTTGCTTTTTCCCCGTAGGGCTCAAAGCGCTCCAAATGTCCACTTGCACATACTACAAAAACAGTGCTTCAAAGCTGCTCTCTGAAAGGGAATGTTCAACTCTATGAGTTGAATGCAAACATCACAAAGACGTTTCTGAGAATGCTTCTGTCTAGATTTGAAATGAACATATTCCCGTTTTCAACGAAATCTTCAAATCTATCCAAATGTCTACTTGCAGATTCAACAAAAAGTGTTTTTCAAAACTGCTGTGTCGAAAGAAAGATCCAACTCTGTTAGCTGAGTTCACACTTCACAAACAAGTTTATCAGAATGCTTCTGTCTAGTTTTTATTTGAAGATATTTCCTTTCTCACCATAGACCTGAAAGCTGTCCTAATGTTCACTTCCAGATACTACAGAAAGAGTGTTTCAAAACTGCTGTACGAAAGGGAATGTTCAACTCTGTGACTTGAATACACACATCACAAAGAAGTTTCTGAGGAGGCTGCAGTCTACTTTTTATACGTAATCCCGTTTCTAAAGAAAACCTCCAAGCTATCCAAATATCCACTTGCAGATTCCACAGAAAGACTGTTTCAAAACTGCTCTGTCAATAGAAAGGTTCAACTCTGTTAGCTGCGTGCATATATCCCAAAGAAGATTCTGAGATTGCTTCTGTCTACTTTTTATGAGAAGATATTTCCCTTTTCACCGTAGGCATCAAGGCGCTCCAAATGTCCACTTCCAGATACTACAAAAAGTGTGTTTCAAACCTACTCTGTGAAAGGGAATATTCAACTCTGTGACTTGAATGCACATATCACAACGAAGCTTCTGAGAATGCTTCTGTCGAGATTTTATATGAAGATATTCCCGTTTCCAACGAAATCCTGAAATCTATCCAAATATCCCCTTGCAGATTCTACAAAAAGAGTGTTTCAAAACTGCTCTGTAAAAAGAAAGGTTCAACTCTGTTAGTTGAGTACACACATCACAAACAAGTTTCACAGAATGCTTCTTTCTAGCTTGTAGGGGAAGATATTCCCTTTATCACCATGGGCCTCAAACCGTCCGAAACATCCACTTCCATATACTACAAAAAGAGCGTTTCAAACCTGCTCTATGAAAGGCAATGTTCAACTCTGTGACTTGAATGCAGACATCACAGAGCAGTTTCTGAGAATGCTTTCTGTCTAGATTTTATAGGAAGATATTCCCGTTTCCAACGAAATCTTCACAGCTATCCAAATATCCACTTGCAGATTCTACAAAAAGAGTGTATCGAAACTGCTCTGTCAAAAGGAAGGTTCTTCTCTGTTAGGTGAGTGCATACGTCATAAAGGAGTTTCTGAGAATGTTTCTGTCTAGTGGTTATGGGAAGATATTTGCTTTTTCCCCGTAGGCCTCAGGGCCCTCCAAATGTCCACTTGCACATGCTACAAAAAGAGTGCTTCAAAGCTGCTCTCTGAAAGGGAATGTTCAACTCTATGAGTTGAATGCAAACATCACAAAGACGTTTCTGAGAATGCTTCTGTCTAGATTTGATATGAAGATATTCCCGTTTCCAACGAAATCTTCAAATCTATCCAAATGTCCACCTGCAGATTCAACAAAAAATGTTTTTCAGAACTGCTCTATCAAAAGAAAGATCCACCTCTGTTAGCTGAGTTCACACATCACAAACAAGTTAATGAGAATGCTTCTGTCTAGTTTTTATTTGAAGATATTTCCTTTCTCACCATAGACCTGAAAGCTTTCCTAATGTTCACTTCCAGATACTACAGAAAGAGTGGTTCAAAACTGCTGTACGAAAGGGAATGTTCAACTCTGTGACTTGAATGCACACATCACAAAGAAGTTTCTGAGGATGCTGCTGTCTAATTTTTATACGTAATCCCGTTACCAACGAAATCCTCCAAGCTATCTAAATATCCACTTGCAGATTCCACAGAAAGACTGTTTCAAAACTGCTCTGTCAATAGAAAGGTTCAACTCTGTTAGCTGCGTGCATATATCCCAAAGCAGATTCTGAGATTCCTTCTGTCTAGTTTTTATGGGAAGATATTTCCCTTTTCACCGTAGGCGTCGAGGCGCTCCAAATTTCCACTTCCAGATACTACAAAAAGAGTGTTTGAAACCTACTCTGTGAAAGGGAATATTCAACTCTGTGACTTGAATGCACATATCACAAAGAAGTTTCTGAGAATGCTTCTGTCGAGATTTTATATGAAGATATTCCCGTTTCCAACGAAATCCTGAAATCTATCCAAATATCCCCTCGCAGATTCTACAAAAAGAGTGTTTCAAAACTGCTCTGTAAAAAGAAAGGTTCAACCCTCTTAGTTGAGTACACACATCACAAACAAGTTTCACAGAATGCTTCTTTCTAGCTTGTAGGGGAAGATATTCCCTTTATCACCATGGACCTAAAACCGTCCGAAACGTCCACTTCCATATACTACAAAAAGAGCGTTTCAAACCTGCTCTAGGAAAGGCAATGTTCAACTCTGTGACTTGAATGCAGACATCACAGAGCAGTTTCTGAGAATGCTTCTGTCTAGATTTTATAGGAAGATATTCCCGTTTCCAACGAAATCTTCACAGCTATCCAAATATCCACTTGCAGATTCTACAAAAAGAGTGTATCAAAACTGCTCTGTCAAAAGGAAGGTTCTTCTCTGTTAGGTGAGTGCATACTTCATAAAGCAGTTTCTGAGAATGTTTCTGTCTAGTGGTTATGGGAAGATATTTGCTTTTTCACCGTAGGCCTCAGAGCGCTCCAAATATCCACTTGCACATACTACAAAAAGAGTGCCTCAAAGCTGCTCTCTGTAACGGAATGTTCAACTCTATGAGTTGAATGCAAACATCACAAAGACGTTTCTGAGAATGCTTCTGTCTAGATTTGATATGAAGATATTCCCGTTTCCAACGAAATCTTCAAATCTATCCAAATGTCCACTTGCAGATTCAACAAAAAGTGTTTTTCAGAACTGCTCTATCAAAAGAAAGATCCACCTCTGTTAGCTGAGTTCACACATCACAAACAAGTTTATGAAAATGCTTCTGTCTATTTTTTATTTGAAGATATAGCCTTTCTCACTATAGACATGAAAGCTCTCCTAAAGTTCACTTCCAGATACTTCAGAAAGAGTGTTTCAAAACTGCTGTACGAAAGGGAATGTTCAACTCTGTGACTTGAATGCACACATTACAAGGAAGTTTCTGTGGATGCTGCTGTCTAGCTTTTTATATCTGTAATCCCGTTTCCAACGAAATCCTCCAAGCTATCCAAATATCTACTTGCAGATTCCACAGAAAGACTGTTTCAAAACTGCTCTGTCAATAGAAAGGTTTAACTCTGTTAGCTGCGTGCATATATCCCAAAGAAGATTCTGAGATTGCTTCTGTCTAGTTTTTATGGGAAGATATTTCCCTTTTCACCGTAGGTGTCAAGGCGCTCCAAATGTCCACTTCCAGATACTACAAAAAGAGTGTTTCAAACCTACTCTGTGAAAGGGAATATTCAACTCTGTGACTCGAATGCACATATCACAAAGAAGTTTCTGAGAATGCTTCTGTCGAGATTTTATATGAAGATATTCCCGTTTCCAACGAAATCCTGAAATCTATCCAAATATCCCCTCGCAGATTCTACAAAAAGAATGTTTCAAAACTGCTCTGTAAAAAGAAAGGTTCAACTCTGTTATTTGAGTACACACATCACAAACAAGTTTCACAGAATGCTTCTTTCTAGCTTGTAGGGGAAGATATTCCCTTTATCACCATGGGCCTCCAACCGTCCGAAACATCCACTTCCATATACTACAAAAAGAGCGTTTCAAACCTGCTCTATGAAAGGCAATGTTCAACTCTGTGACTTGAATGCAGACATCACAGAGCAGTTACTGAGAATGCTTCTGTGTAGATTTTATAGGAAGATATTCCCGTTTCCAACGAAATCTTCACAGCTATCCAAATATCCACTTGCAGATTCTACAAAAAGAGTGTATCAAAACTGCTCTGTCAAAAGGAAGGTTCTTCTCTCTTAGGTGAGTGCATACGTCATAAAGGAGTTTCTGAGAATGTTTCTGTCTAGTGGTTATGGGAAGATATTTGCTTTTTCACCGTAGGCCTCAGAGCGCTCCAAATATCCACTTGCACATACTACAAAAAGAGTGCCTCAAAGCTGCTCTCTGAAACGGAATGTTCAACTCTATGAGTTGAATGCAAACATCGCAAAGACGTTTCTGAGAATGCTTCTGTCTAGATTTGATATGAAGATATTCCCGTTTCCAACTAAATCTTCAAATCTATCCAAATGTCCACTTGCAGATTCAACAAAAAGTGTTTTTCAGAACTGCTCTATCAAAAGAAAGATCCACCTCTGTTAGCTGAGTTCAGACATCACAAACAAGTTTATGAGAATGCTTCCTGTCTAGTTTTTATTTGAAGATATTTCCTTTCTCACCATAGAGCTGAAAGCTGTCCTAATGTTCACTTCCAGATACTACAGAAAGAGTGTTTCAAAACTGCTGTACGAAAGGGAATGTTCAACTCTGTGACTTGAATGCACACATCACAAAGAAGTTTCTGAGGATGCTGCTGTCTACTTTTTATATGTAATCCCGTTTCCAATGAAATCCTCCAAGCTATCCAAATATCCACTTGCAGATTCCACAAAAAGACTGTTTCAAAACTGCTCTGTCAATAGAAAGGTTCAACTCTGTTAGCTGCATGCATACATCCCAAAGAAGATTCTGAGATTGCCTCTGTGTAGTTTTTATGGGAAGATATTTCCTTTTTCACCATAGACGTCAAAGCGCTCCCAATGTCCACTTCCAGATACTACAAAAAGAGTGTTTCAAACCTGCTATGTGAAAGGGAATATTCAACTCTGTAACTTCAATGCATATATCACAAAGAGGTTTCGGAGAATGCTTCTGTCGAGATTTTATATGAAGATATTCCCGTTTCCAACGAAATCCTGAAATCTATCCAAATATCCCCTCGCAGATTCTACAAAAAGAGTGTTTCAAAACTGCTCTGTAAAAAGAATGGTTCAACTCTATTAGTTGAGTACACACATCACAAACAAGTTTCACAGAATGCTTCTTTCTAGCTTGTAGGGGAAGATATTCCCTTTATCACCATGGGCCTCAAACCGTCCGAAACGTCTACTTCCATATACTACAAAAAGAGCGTTTCAAACCTGCTCTAGGAAAGGCAATGTTCAACTCTGTGACTTGAATGCAGACATCACAGAGCAGTTTCTGAGAATGCTTCTGTCTAGATTTTATAGGAAGATATTCCCGTTTCCAGCAAAATCTTCACAGCTATCCAAATATCCACTTGCAGATTCTACAAAAAGAGTGTATCAAAACTGCTCTGTCAAATGGAAGGTTCTTCTCTGTTAGGTGAGTGCATACGTCATAAACGAGTTTCTGAGAATGTTTCTGTCTAGTGGTTATGGGAAGATATTTGCTTTTTCACCTTAGGCCTCAGAGCGCTCCAAATATCCCTTTACAAATCCTACAAAAAGAGTGCTTCAAAGCTGCTCTCTGAAAGGGAATGTTCAACTCTATGAGTTGAATGCAAACATCACAAAGACGTTTCTGGGAATGCTTCTGTCTAGATTTGATATGAAGATATTCCCGTTTCCAACGAAATCTTCAAATCTATCCAAATGTCCACTTGCAGATTCAACAAAATGTGTTTTTCAGAACTGCTCTATCAAAAGAAAGATCCACCTCTGTTAGCTGAGTTCACACATCACAAACAAGTTTATGAGAATGCTTCCGTCTAGTTTTTATTTGAAGATATTTCCTTTCTCACCATAGACCTGAAAGCTGTCCTAATGTTCACTTCCAGATACTACAGAAAGAGTGTTTCAAAACTGCTGTACGAAAGGGAATGTTCAACTCTGTGACTTGAATGCACACATCACAAAGAAGTTTCTGAGGATGCTGCTGTCTACTTTTTATACGTAATCCCGTTTCCAACGAAATCCTCCAAGCTATCCAAATATCCACTTGCAGATTCCACAGAAAGACTGTTTCAAAACTGCTCTGTCAATAGAAAGGTTCAACTCTGTTAGCGGCGTGCATAAATCCCAAAGAAGATTCTGAGATTGCTTCTGTCTAGTTTTTATGGGAAGATATTTCCCTTTTCACCGTAGGCGTCAAGGCGCTCCAAATGTCCACTTCCAGATACTACAAAAAGAGTGTTTCAAACCTACTCTGTGAAAGGGAATATTCAACTCTGTGACTTGAATGCACATATCACAAGGAAGTTTCTGAGAATGCTTCTGTCGAGATTTTATATGAAGATATTCCCGTTTCCAACGAAATGCTGAAATGTTTCCAAATATCCCCTCGCAGATTCTACAAAAAGAGTGTTTCAAAACTACTCTGTAAAAAGAAAGGTTCAACTCTGTTAGTTGAGTACACACATCACAAACAAGTTTCACAGAATGCTTCTTTCTAGCTTGTAGGGGAAGATATTCCCTTTATCACCATGGGCCTCAAACCGTCCGAAACGTCCACTTCCATATACTACAAAAAGAGCGTTTCAAACCTGCTCCATGAAAGGCAATGTTCAACTGTGTGACTTGAATGCAGACATCACAGAGCAGTTTCTGAGAATGCTTCTGTCTAGTGGTTATGGGAAGATATTTGCTTTTTCACCGTAGGCCTCAGAGCGCTCCAAATATCCACTTTCAGATTCTACAAAAAGAGTGTATCAAAACTGCTCTGTCAAAAGGAAGGTTCTTTTCTGTTAGGTGAGTGCATACGTCATAAAGGAGTTTCTGAGAATGTTTCTGTCTAGTGGTTATGGGAAGATATTTGCTTTTTCCCCGTATGCCTCAGGGCGCTCCAAATGTCCACTTGCACATGCTACAAAAAGAGTGCTTCAAAGCTGCTCTCTGAAAGGGAATGTTCAACTCTATGAGTTGAATGCAAACATCACAAAGACGTTTCTGAGAATGCTTCTGTCTAGATTTGATATGAAGATATTCCCGTTTCCAACGAAATCTTCAAATCTATCCAAATGTCCACTTGCAGATTTCAACAAAAAGTGTTTTTCAAAACTGCTGTATCAAAAGAAAGATCCACGTCTGTTAGCTGAGTTCACACATCACAAACAAGTTTATGAGAATGCTTCTGTCTAGTTTTTATTTGAAGATATTTCCTTTCTCACCATAGACCTGAAAGCTGTCCTAATGTTCACTTCCAGATACTACAGAAAGAGCGTTTCAAAACTGATGTACGAAAGGGAATGTTCAACTCTGTGACTTGAATGCACACATCACAAAGAAGTTTCTGAGGATGCTGCTGTCTACTTTTTATACGTAATCCCGTTTCCAACGAAATCCTCCAAGCTATCCAAATATCCACTTGCAGATTCTACAGAAAGACTGTTTCAAAACTGCTCTGTCAATAGAAAGGTTCAACTCTGTTAGCTGCGTGCATATATCCCAAAGAAGATTCTGAGATTGCTTCTGTCTAGTTTTTACGGGAAGATATTTCCCTTTTCACCATAGGTGTCAAGGCGCTCCAAATGTCCACTTCCAGATACTACAAAAAGAGTGTTTCAAACCTACTCTGTGAAAGGGAATATTCCGCTCTGTGACTTGAATGCAGATATCACAATGAAGTTTCTGAGAATGCTTCTGTCGAGATTTTGTATGAAGATATTCCCGTTTCCAACGAAATCCTGAAATCTATCCAAATATCCCCTCGCAGATTCTACAAAAAGAGTGTTTCAAAACTGCTCTGTGAAAAGAAAGGTTCAACTCTGTTAGTTGAGTACACACATCACAAACAAGTTTCACAGAATGCTTCTTCTTTCTAGCTTGTAGGGGAAGATATTCCCTTTATCACCATGGGCCTCAAACCGTCCGAAAAGTCCACTTCCATATACTACAAAAAGAGCGTTTCAAACCTGCTCTATGAAAGGCAATGTTCAACTCTGTGACTTGAATGCAGACATCACAGAGCAGTTTCTGAGAATGCTTCTGTCTAGATTTTATAGGAAGATATTCCCGTTTCCAACGAAATCTTCACAGCTATCCAAATATCCACTTGCAGATTCTACAAAAAGAGTGTATCAAAACTGCTCTGTCAAAAGGAAGGTTCTTCTCTGTTAGGTGAGTGCATACGTCATAAAGGAGTTTCTCAGAATGTTTCTGTCTAGTGGTTATGGGAAGATATTTGCATTTTCACCGTAGGCCTCAGAGCGCTCCAAATATCCACTTGCACATACTACAAAAAGAGTGCCTCAAAGCTGCTCTCTGAAAGGGAATGTTCAACTCTATGAGTTGAATGCAAACATCGCAAAGACGTTTCTGAGAATGCTTCTGTCTAGATTTGATATGAAGATATTCCCGTTTCCAAAGAAATCTTCAAATCTATCCAAATGTCCACTTGCAGATTCAACAAAAAGTGTTTTTCAGAACTGCTCTATCAAAAGAAAGATCCACGTCTCTTAGCTGAGTTCACACATCACAAACAAGTTTATGAGAATGCTTCCGTCTAGTTTTTATTTGAAGATATTTCCTTTCTCACCATAGACCTGAAAGCTGTCCTAATGTTCACTTCCAGATACTACAGAAAGAGTGTTTCAAAACTGCTGTACGAAAGGGAATGTTCAACTCTGTGACTTGAATGCACACATCACAAAGGAGTTTCTGAGGATGCTGCTGTCTACTTTTTATACGTAATCCCGTTTCCAACGAAATCCTCCAAGCTATCCAAATATCCACTTGCAGATTCCACAGAAGGACTGTTTCAAAACTACTCTGTCAATAGAAAGGTTCAACTCTGTTAGCTGCGTGCATATATCCCAAAGAAGATTCTGAGATTGCTTCTGTCTAGTTTTTATGTGAAGATATTTCCCTTTTCACCGTAGGCGTCAAGGCGCTCCAAATGTCCACTTCCAGATACTACAAAAAGAGTGTTTCAAACCTACTCTGTGAAAGGGAATATTCAACTCTGTGACTTGAATGCACATATCACAAAGAAGTTTCTGAGAATGCTTCTGTCGAGATTTTATATGAAGATATTCCCGTTTCCAACGAAATCCTGAAATCTATCCAAATATCCCCTCGCAGATTCTACAAAAAGAGTGTTTCAAAACTGCTCTGTGAAAAGAAAGGGTCAACTCTGTTAGTTGAGTACACACATCACAAACAAGTTTCACAGAATGCTTCTTTCTAGCTTGTAGGGGAAGATATTCCCTTTATCACCATCGGCCTCAAACCGTCTGAAACGTCCACTTCCAGATACTACAAAAAGAGCATTTCAAACCTGCTCTATGAAAGGCAATGTTCAACTCTGTGACTTGAATGCAGACATCACAGAGCAGTTTCTGAGAATGCTTCTGTCTAGATTTTATAGGAAGATATTCCCGTTTCCAACGAAATCTTCACAGCTATCCCAAATATCCACTTGCAGATTCTACAAAAAGAGTGTATCAAAACTGCTCTGTCAAAAGGAAGGTTCTTCTCTGTTAGGTGAGTGCATACGTCATAAAGGAGTTTCTGAGAATGTTTCTGTCTAGTGGTTATGGGAAGATATTTGCTTTTTCCCCGTAGGCCTCAGGGCGCTCCACATGTCCACTTGCACATGCTACAAAAAGAGTGCTTCAAAGCTGCTCTCTCAAAGGGAATGTTCAACTCTATGAGTTGAATGCAAACATCGCAAAGACGTTTCTGAGAATGCTTCTGTCTAGATTTGATATGAAGATATTCCCGTTTCCAACGAAATCTTCATATCTATCCAAATGTCCACTTGCAGATTCAACAAAAAGTGTTTTTCAAAACTGCTGTATCAAAAGAAAGATCCACGTCCGTTAGCTGAGTTCACACATCACAAACAAGTTTATGAGAATGCTTCTGTCTAGTTTTTATTTGAAGATATTTCCTTTCTCACCATAGACCTGAAAGCTGTCCTATTGTTCACTTCCAGATACTAAAGAAAGAGTGTTTCAAAACTGCTGTACGAAAGGGAATGTTCAACTCTGTGACTTCAATGCACACATCACAAAGAAGTTTCTGAGGATGCTGCTGTCTACTTTTTATACGTAATCCCGTTTCCAATGAAATCCTCCAAGCTATCCAAGTATCCACTTGCAGATTCCACAGAAAGAGTGTTTCAAAACTGCTCTGTCAATAGAAAGGTTCAACTCTGTTAGCTGCGTGCATATATCCCAAAGAAGATTCTGAGATTGCTTCTGTCTAGTTTTTATGGGAAGATATTTCCCTTTTCACCGTAGGCGTCAAGGCGCTCCAAATGTCCACTTCCAGATACTACAAAAAGAGTGTTTCAAACCTACTCTGTGAAAGCGAATATTCAACTCTGTGACTTTAATGCACATATCACAAAGAAGTTTCTGAGAATGCTTCTGTCGAGATTTTATATGATAGATATTCCCGTTTCCAACGAAATCCTGAAATCTATCCAAATATCCCCTCGCAGATTCTACAAAAAGAGTGTTTCAAAACTGCTCTGTAAAAAGAAAGGTTCAACTCTGTTAGTTGAGTACACACATCACAAACAAGTTTCACAGAATGCTTCTTTCTAGCTTGTAGGGGAAGATTTTCCCTTTATCACCATGGGCCTCCAACCGTCCGAAACATCCACTTCCATATACTACAAAAAGAGCGTTTCAAACCTGCTCTATGAAAGGCAATGTTCAACTCTGTGACTTGAATGCAGACATCACAGAGCAGTTTCTGAGAATGCTTCTGTCTAGATTTTATAGGAAGATATTCCCGTTTCCAACGAAATCTTCACAGCTATCCAAATATCCACTTGCAGATTCTACAAAAAGAGTGTATCAAAACTGCTCAGTCAAAAGAAAGGTTCTTCTCTGTTAGGTGAGTGCATACGTCATAAAGGAGTTTCTGAGAATGTTTCTGTCTAGTGGTTATGGGAAGATATTTGCTTTTTCCCCGTAGGCCTCAGGGCGCTCCAAATGTCCACTTGCACATGCTACAAAAAGAGTGCTTCAAAGCTTCTCTCTGAAAGGGAATGTTCAACTCTATGAGTTGAATGCAAACATCACAAAGACGTTTCTGAGAATGCTTCTGTCTAGATTTGATATGAAGATATTCCCGTTTCCAACGAAATCTTCAAATCTATCCGAATGTCCACTTGCAGATTCAACAAAAAGTGTTTTTCAGAACTGCTCTATCAAAAGAAAGATCCACCTCTGTTAGCTGAGTTCACACATCACAAACAAGTTTATGAGAATGCTTCTGTCTAGTTTTTATTTGAAGATATTTCCTTTCTCACCATAGAGCTGAAAGCTGTCCTAATGTTCACTTCCAGTTACTACAGAAAGAGTGTTTCAAAACTGCTGTACGAAAGGGAATGTTCAACTCTGTGACTTGAATGCACACATCACAAAGAAGTTTCTGAGGATGCTGCTGTCTACTTTTTATACGTAATCCCGTTTCCAACGAAATCCTCCAATCTATCCAAATATCCACTTGCAGATTCCACAGAAAGACTGTTTCAAAACTGCTCTGTCAATAGAAAGGTTCAACTCTGTTAGCTGCGTGCAGATATCCCAAGGAAGATTCTGAGATTGCTTCTGTCTAGTTTTTATGGGAAGATATTTCCCTTTTCACCGTAGGCGTCAAGTCGCTCCAAATGTCCACTTCCAGATACTACAAAAAGAGTGTTTCAAACCTACTCTGTGAAAGGGAATATTCAACTCTGTGACTTGAATGCAGATATCACAAAGAAGTTTCTGAGAATGCTTCTGTCGAGATTTTATATGAAGATATTCCCGTTTCCAACGAAATCCTGAAATCTCTCCAAATATCCCCTCGCAGATTCTACAAAAAGAGTGTATGAAAACTGCTCTGTCAAAAGGTAGGTTCTTCTCTGTTAGGTGAGTGCATACGTCATAAAGGAGTTTCTGAGAATGTTTCTTTCTAGCTTGTAGGGGAAGATATTCCCTTTATCACCATGGGCCTCAAACCGTCCGAAATGTCCACTTCCATATACTACAAAAAGAGCGTTTCAAACCTGCTCTATGAAAGGCAATGTTCAACTCTGTGACTTGAATGCAGACATCACAGAGCAGTTTCGGAGAATGCTTCTGTCTAGATTTTATAGGAAGATATTCCCGTTTCCAACGAAATCTTCACAGCTATCCAAATATCCACTTGCAGATCCTACAAAAAGAGTGTATCAAAACTGCTCTGTCAAAAGGAAGGTTCTTCTCTGTTAGTTGAGTACATACGTCATAAAGGAGTTTCTGAAAATGTTTCTGTCTAGTGGTTATGGGAAGATATTTGCTTTTTCACCTTAGGCCTCAGAGCGCTCCAAATATCCCCTTGCACATACTACAAAAAGAGTGCTTCAAAGCTGCTCTCTGAAAGGGAATGTTCAACTCTATGAGTTGAATGCAAACATCACAAAGACGTTTCTGAGAATGCCTCTGTCTAGATTTGATATGAAGATATTCCCGTTTCCAACGAAATCTTCAAATCTATACAAATGTCCATTTGCAGATTCAACAAAATGTGTTTTTCAGAACTGCTCTATCAAAAGAAAGATCCACCTCTGTTAGCTGAGCTCACACATCACAAACAAGTTTATGAGAATGCTTCTGTCTAGTTTTTATTTGAAGATATTCCCTTTCTCACCATAGACCTGTAAGCTGTCCTAATGTTCACTTCCAGATACTACAGAAAGAGTGTTTCAAAACTGCTGTACGAAAGGGAATGTTCAACTCTGTGACTTGAATGCACACATCACAAAGAAGTTTCTGAGGATGCTGCTGTCTACTTTTTATACGTAATCCCGTTTCCAACGAAATCCTCCAATCTATCCAAATATCCACTTGCAGATTCCACAGAAAGACTGTTTCAAAACTGCTGTGTCTATAGAAAGGTTCAACTCTGTTAGCTGCGTGCATATATCCCAAAGAAGATTCTGAGATTGCTTCTGTCTAGTTTTTATGGGAAGATATTTCCCTTTTCACCGTAGGCGTCAAGGCGCTCCAAATGTCCACTTCCAGATACTACAAAAAGAGTGTTTCAAACCTACTCTGTGAAAGGGAATATTCAACTTTGTGACTTGAATGCACATATCACAAAGAAGTTTCTGAGAATGCTTCTGTCGAGATTTTATATGAAGATATTCCCGTTTCCAACGAAATCCTGAAATCTATCCAAATATCCCCTCGCAGATTCTACAAAAAGAGTGTTTCAAAACTGCTCTGTAAAAAGAAAGGTTCAACTCTGTTAGTTGAGTACACACTTCACAAACAAGTTTCACAGAATGCTTCTTTCTAGCTTGTAGGGGAAGATATTCCCTTTATCACCATGGGCCTCAAACCGTCCGAAACGTCCACTTCCATATAGTACAAAAAGAGCGTTTCAAACCTGCTCTATGAAAGGCAATGTTCAACTCTGTGACTTGAATGCAGACATCACAGAGCAGTTTCTGAGAATGCTTCTGTCTAGATTTTATAGGAAGATATTCCCTGTTTCCAACGAAATCTTCACAGCTATCCAAATATCCACTTGCAGATTCTACAAAAAGAGTGTATCAAAACTACTCTGTCAAAAGGAAGGTTCTTCTCTGTTAGGTGAGTGCATACATCATAAAGGAGTTTCTGAGAATGTTTCTGTCTAGTGGTTATGGGAAGATATTTGCTTTTTCACCGTAGGCCTCAGAGCGCTCCAAATATCCACTTGAACATACTACAAAAAGAGTGCTTCAAAGCTGCTCTCTGAAACGGAATGTTCAACTCTATGAGTTGAATGCAAACATCACAAAGACGTTTACTGAGAATGCTTCTGTCTAGATTTGATATGAAGATATTCCCGTTTCCAACGAAATCTTCAAATCTATCCAAATGTCCACTTGCAGATTCAACAAAAAGTGTTTTTCAGAACTGCTCTATCAAAATAAAGATCCACCTCTGTTACCTGAGTTCACACTTCACAAACAAGTTTTTGAGAATGCTTCTGTCTAGTTTTTATTTGAAGATATTTCCCTTCTCACCATAGAGTGAAAGCTGTCCTAATGTTCACTTCCAGATACTACAGAAAGAGTGTTTCAAAACTGCTGTACGAAAGGGAATGTTCAACTCTGTGACTTGAATGCACACATCACAAAGAAGTTTCTGAGGATGCTGCTGTCTACTTTTTATACGTAATCCCGTTTCCAACGAAATCCTCCAAGCTATCCAAATATCCACTTGCAGATTCCACAGAAACACTGTTTCAAAACTGTTCTGTCAATAGAAAGGTTCAACTATGTTAGCTGCGTGCATATATCCCAAAGAAGATTCTGAGATTGCTTCTGTCTAGTTTTTATGGGAAGATATTTCCCTTTTCACCGTAGGCGTCAAGGCGCTCCAATGTCCAATTCCAGATAGTATAAAAAGAGTGTTTCAAACCTCCTCTGTGAAAGGGAATATTCAACTCTGTGACTGTAATGCAGATATCACAAAGAAGTTTCTGAGAATGCTTCTGTCGAGATTTTATATGAAGATATTCCCGTTTCCAACGAAATCCTGAAATGTATCCAAATATCCCCTCGCAGATTCTACAAAAAGAGTGTTTCAAAACTGCTCTGTGAAAAGAAAGGTTCAACTCTGTTAGTTGAGTACACACATCACAAACAAGTTTCACAGAATGCTTCTTTCTAGCTTGTAGGGGAAGATATTCCCTTTATCACCATGGTCCTCAAACCGTTCGAAACGTCCTCTTCCATATAGTACAAAAAGAGCGTTTCAAACCTGCTCTATGAAAGGCAATGTTCAACTCTGTGACTTGAATGCAGACATCACAGAGCAGTTTCTGAGAATGCTTCTGTCTAGATTTTATAGGAAGATATTCCCGTTTCCAACGAAATCTTCACAGCTATCCAAATATCCACTTGCAGATTCTACAAAAAGAGTGTATCAAAACTGCTCTGTCAAAAAGAGGGTTCTTCTCTGTTAGTTGAGTACATACGTCATAAAGGAGTTTCTGAGAATGTTTCTGTCTAGTGGTTATGGGAAGATATTTGCTTTTTCACCGTAGGCCTCAGAGCGCTCCAAATATCCCCTTGCACATACTACAAAAAGAGTGCTTCAAAGCTGCGCTCTGAAAGGGAATGTTCAACTCTGTGAGTTGAATGCAAACATCACAAAGACGTTTCTGAGAATGCTTCTGTCTAGATTTGATATGAAGATATTCCCGTTTCCAACGAAATCTTCAAATCTATCCAAATGTCCACTTGCAGATTCAACAAAAAGTGTTTTTCAGAACTGCTCTATCAAAGGAAAGATCCACCTCTGTTAGCTGAGTTCACACATCACAAACAAGTTTATGAGAATGCTTCTGTCTAGTTTTTATTTGAAGATATTTCCTTTCTCACCATAGACCTGAAAGCTGTCCTAATGTTCACTTCCAGTTACTACAGAAAGAGTATTTCAAAACTGCTGTACGAAAGGGAATGTTCAACTCTGTGACTTGAATGCACACATCACAAAGAAGTTTCTGAGGATGCTGCTGTCTACTTTTTATACGTAATCCTGTTTCCAACGAAATCCTCCAAGCTATCCAAATATCCACTTGCAGATTCCACAGAAAGACTGTTTCAAAACTGCTATGTCAATAGAAAAGTTCAACTCTGTTAGCTGTGTGCATATATCCCAAAGAAAATTCTGAGATTGCTTCTGTCTAGTTTTTATGGGAAGATATTTCCCTTTTCACCGTAGGCGTCAAGGCGCTCCAAATGTCCACTTCCAGATACTACAAAAAGAGTGTTTCAAACCTACTGTGTGAAAGGGAATATTCAACTCTGTGACTTGAAGGCAGATATCACAAAGAAGTTTCTGAGAATGCTTCTGTCGAGATTTTATATGAAGATATTCCCCTTTCCAACGAAATCCTGAAATCTATCCAAATATGCCCTCGCAGATTCTACAAAAAGAGTGTTTCAAAACTGCTCTGTAAAAAGAAAGGTTCAACTCTGTTAGTTGAGTACACACATCACAAACAAGTTTCACAGAATGCTTCTTTCTAGCTTGTAGGGGAAGATATTCCCTTTATCACCATGGGCCTCAAACCGTCTGAAACGTCCACTTCCATATACTACAAAAAGAGCATTTCAAACCTGCTCTATGAAAGGCAATGTTCAACTCTGTGACTTGAATGCAGACATCACAGAGCAGTTTCTGAGAATGCTTCTGTCTAGATTTTATAGGAAGATATTCCTGTTTCCAACGAAATCTTCACAGCTATCCAAATATCCACTTGCAGATTCTACAAAAAGAGTGTATCAAAACTGCTCTGTCAAAAGGAAGGTTCTTCTATGTTAGGTGAGTGCATACGTCATAAAGGAGTTTCTGAGAATGTTTCTGTCTAGTGGTTATGGGAAGATATTTGCTTTTTCACCGTAGGCCTCAGAGCGCTCCAAATATCCACTTGCACATACTACAAAAAGTGTGCCTCAAAGCTGCTCTCTGAAACGGAATGTTCAACTCTATGAGTTGAATGCAAACATCCCAAAGACGTTTCTGAGAATGCTTCTGTCAAAATTTGATATGAAGATATTCCAGTTTCCAACGAAATCTTCAAATCTATCCAAATGTCCACTTGCAGATTCAACAAAAAGTGTTTTTCAGAACTGCTCTATCAAAAGAAAGATCCACCTCTGTTAGCTGAGTTCACACATCACAAACAAGTTTATGAGAATGCTTTTGTCTAGTTTTTATTTGAAGATATTTCCTTTCTCACCATAGACCTGAAAGCTGTCCTAATGTTCACTTCCAGTTACTACAGAAAGAGTGTTTGAAAACTGCTGTACGAAAGGGAATGTTCAACTCTGTGACTTGAATGCACACATCACAAAGAAGTTTCTGAGGATGCTGCTGTCTACTTTTTATACGTAATCCCGTTTCCAACGAAATCCTCCAAGCTATCCAAATATCCACTTGCAGATTCCACAGAAAGACTGTTTCAAAACTGCTCTGTCAATAAGAAAGGTTCAACTCTGTTAGCTGCGTGCATATATCCCAAAGAAGATTCTGAGATTGCTTCTGTCTAGTTTTTATGGGAAGATATTTCCCTTTTCACCGTAGGTGTCAAGGCGCTCCAAATGTCCACTTCCAGATACTACAAAAAGAGTGTTTCAAACCTACTCTGTGAAAGGGAATATTCAACTCTGTGACTTGAATGCAGATATCACAAAGAAGTTTCTGAGAATGCTTCTGTCGAGATTTTATATGAAGATATTCCCGTTTCCAACGAAATCCTGAAATCTATCCAAATATCCCCTCGCAGATTCTACAAAAAGAGTGTTTCAAAACTGCTCTGTAAAAAGAAAGGTTCAACCTTCTTAGTTGAGTACACACATCACAAACAAGTTTCACAGAATGCTTCTTTCTAGCTTGTAGGGGAAGATATTCCCTTTATCACCATGGGCCTCCAACCGTCCGAAACATCCACTTCCATATACTACAAAAAGAGCGTTTCAAACCTGCTCTATGAAAAGCAATGTTCAACTCTGTGACTTGAATGCAGACATCACAGAGCAGTTTCTGAGAATGCTTCTGTCTAGCATTTTATAGGAAGATATTCCCGTTTCCAACGAAATCTTCACAGGTATCAAAATATCCACTTGCAGATTCTACAAAAAGAGTGTATCAAAACTGCTCTGTCAAAAGGAAGGTTCTTCTCTGTTAGGTGAGTGCATACGTCATAAAGGAGTTTCTGAGAATGTTTCTGTCTAGTGGTTATGGGAAGATATTTGCTTTTTCACCGTAGGCCTCAGAGCACTCCAAATATCCACTTGCACATACTACAAAAAGAGTGCCTCAAAGCTGCTCTCTGAAATGGAATGTTCAACTCTATGAGTTGAATGCAAACATCACAAAGACGTTTCTGAGAATGCTTCTGTCTAGATTTGATATGAAGATATTCCCGTTTCCAACGAAATCTTCAAAACTATCCAAATGTCCACTTGCAGATTCAACAAAAAGTGTTTTTCAGAACTGCTCTATCAAAAGAAAGATCCACCGTTGTTAGCTGAGTTCACACATCACAAACAAGTTTATGAGAATGCTTCTGTCTAGTTTTTATTTGAAGATATTTCCTTTCTTACCATAGACCTGAAAGCTGTCCTAATGTTCACTTCCAGATACTACAGAAAGAGTGTTTCAAAACTGCTGTACGAAAGGGAATGTTCAACTCTGTGACTTGAATGCACACATCACAAAGAAGTTTCTGAGGATGCTGCTGTCTACTTTTTATACGTAATCCCGTTTCCAAAAAAATCCTCCAAGCTATCCAAATATCCACTTGCAGATTCCACAGAAAGACTGTTTCAAAACTGCTCTGTCAATAGAAAGGTTCAACTCTGTTAGCTGCGTGCATATATCCCAAAGAAGATTCTGAGATTGCTTCTGTCTAGTTTTTATGGGAAGATATTTCCCTTTTCACCCTAGGCGTCAAGGCGCTCCAAATGTCCACTTCCAGATACTACAAAAAGAGTGTTTCAAACCTACTCTGTGAAAGGGAATATTCAACTCTGTGACTTGAATGCACATATCACAAAGAAGTTTCTGAGAATGCTTCTGTCGAGATTTTATATGAAGATATTCCCGTTTCCAACGAAATCCTGAAATCTATTCAAATATCCCCTCGCAGATTCTTCAAAAAGAGTGTTTCAATACTGCTCTGTAAAAAGAAAGGTTCAACTCTGTTAGTTGAGTACACACATCACAAACAAGTTTCACAGAATGCTTCTTTCTAGCTTGTAGGGGAAGATATTCCCTTTATCACCATGGGCCTCAAACTGTCCGAAACGTCCACTTCCATATACTACAAAAAGAGCGTTTCAAACCTTCTCTATGAAAGGCAATGTTCAGCTCTGTGACTTGAATGCAGACATCACAGAGCAGTTTCTGAGAATGCTTCTGTCTAGATTTTATAGGAAGATATTCCCGTTTCCAACAAAATCTTCACAGCTATCCAAATATCCACTTGCAGATTCTACAAAAAGAGTGTATCAAAACTGCTCTGTCAAAAGGAAGGTTCTTCTCTGTTAGGTGAGTGCATACGTCATAAAGGAGTTTCTGAGAATGTTTCTGTCTAGTGGTTATGGGAAGATATTTGCTTTTTCACCGTAGGCCTCAGGAGCGCTCCAAATATCCACTTGCACATACTACAAAAAGAGTGCCTCAAGGCTGCTCTCTGAAACGGAATGTTCAACTCTATGAGTTGAATGCAAACATCGCAAAGACGTTTCTGAGAATGCTTCTGTCTAGATTTGATATGAAGATATTCCCGTTTCCAACGAAATCTTCAAATCTATCCAAATGTCCACTTGCAGATTCAACAAAAAGTGTTTTTCAGAACTGCTCTATCAAAAGAAAGATCCAACTCTGTTAGCTGAGTTCACACATCACAAACAAGTTTATGAGAATGCTTCTGTCTAGTTTTTATTTGAAGATATTTCCTTTCTCAATATAGACGTGAAAGCTGTCCTAATATTCACTTCCAGATACTACAGAAAGAGTGTTTCAAAACTGCTGTACGAAAGGGAATGTTCAACTCTGTGACTTGAATGCACACATCACAAAGAAGTTTCTGAGGATGCTGCTGTCTACTTTTTATACGTAATCCCGTTTCCAACGAAATCCTCCAAGCTATCCAAATATCCACTTGCAGATTCCACAGAAAGACTGTTTCAAAACTGGTCTGTCAATAGAAAGGTTCAACTCTGTTAGCTGCGTGCATATATCCCAAAGAAGATTCTGAGATTGCTTCTGTCTAGTTTTTATGGGAAGATATTTCCCTTTTCACCATAGGTGTCAAGGCGCTCCAAATGTCCACTTCCAGATACTACAAAAAGAGTGTTTCAATCCTACTCTGTGAAAGGGAATATTCAACTCTGTGACTTGAATGGAGATATCACAAAGAAGTTTCTGAGAATGCTTCTGTCGAGATTTTATATGAAGATATTCCCGTTTCCAACGAAATCCTGAAATCTATCCAAATATCCGCTCGCAGATTCTACAAAAAGAGTGTTTCAAAACTGTTCTGTGAAAAGAAAGGTTCAACTCTGTTAGTTGAGTACACACATCACAAACAAGTTTCACAGAATGCTTCTTTCTAGCTTGTAGGGGAAGATATTCCCTTTATCACCATGGGCCTCCAACCGTCAGAAACATCCACTTCCATATACTACAAAAAGAGCGTTTCAAACCTGCTCTATGAAAGGCAATGTTCAACTCTGTGACTTGAATGCAGACATCACAGAGCAGTTTCTGAGAATGCTTCTGTCTAGAATTTATAGGAAGATATTCCCGTTTCCAACGAAATCTTCACAGCTATCCAAATATCCACTTGCATATTCTACAAAAAGAGTGTATCAAAACTGCTCTGTCAAAAGGAAGGTTCTTCTCTGTTAGGTGAGTGCATACGTCATAAAGGAGTTTCTGAGAATGTTTCTGTCTAGTGGTTATGGGAAGATATTTGCTTTTTCACCATAGGCCTCAGAGCGCTCCAAATATCCACTTGCACATACAACAAAAAGAGTGCTTCAAAGCTGCTCTCTGAAAGGGAATGTTCAACTCTATGAGTTGAATGCTAACATCACAAAGACGTTTCTGAGAATGCTTCTGTCTAGATTTGATATGAAGATATTCCCGTTTCCAACGAAATCTTGAAATCTATCCAAATGTCCACTTGCAGATTCAACAAAAAGTGTTTTTCAGAACTGCTCTATCAAAAGAAAGATCCACCTCTGTTAACTGAGTTCACACATCACAAACAAGTTTATGAGAATGCTTCTGTCTAGTTTTTATTTGAAGATATTTCCTTTCTCACCGTAGAGCTGAAAGCTGTCCTAATGTTCACTTCCAGATACTACAGAAAGAGTGTTTCAAAACTGCTGTACGAAAGGGAATGTTCAACTCTGTGACTTGAATGCACACATCACAAAGAAGTTTCTGA
Source organism: Homo sapiens (assembly GCF_000001405.40). Lineage (NCBI taxonomy): Eukaryota > Metazoa > Chordata > Mammalia > Primates > Hominidae > Homo > Homo sapiens. The sequence continues at coordinate 12,209,659 of NC_000021.9, read as the reverse complement.
GGATGCTGCTGTCTACTTTTTATACGTAATCCCGTTTCCAACGAAATCCTCCAATCTATCCAAATATCCACTTGCAGATTCCACAGAAAGACTGTTTCAAATCTGCTCAGTCAATAGAAAGGTTCAACTCTGTTAGCTGCGTGCATATATCACAAAGAAGATTCTGAGATTGCTTCTGTCTAGTTTTTATGGGAAGATATTTCCCTTTTCACCGTAGGCGTCAAGGCGCTCCAAATGTCCACTTCCAGATACTACAAAAAGAGTGTTTCAAACATACTCTGTGAAAGGGAATATTCAACTCTGTGACTTGAATGCACATACCACAAAGAAGTTTCTGAGAATGCTTCTGTCGAGATTTTATATGAAGATATTCCCGTTTCCAACGAAATCCTGAAATGTATCCAAATATCCCCTCGCAGATTCTACAAAAAGAGTGTTTCAAAACTGCTCCTGTAAAAAGAAAGGTTCAACTCTGTTAGTTGAGTACACACATCACAAACAAGTTTCACAGAATGCTTCTTTCTAGCTTGTAGGGGAAGATATTCCCTTTATCACCATGGGCCTCAAACCGTCCGAAACGTTTACTTCCATATACTACAAAAAGAGCGTTTCAAACCTGCTCTATGAAAGGCAATGTTCAACTCTGTGACTTGAATGCAGACATCACAGAGCAGTTTTGAGAATGCTTCTGTCTAGATTTTATAGGAAGATATTTCCGTTTCCAAAGAAACCTTCACAGCTATCCAAATATCCACTTGCAGATTCTACAAAAAGAGTGTATCAAAACTGCTCTGTCAAAAGGAAGGTTCTTCTCTGTTAGGTGAGTGCATACGTCATAAAGGAGTTTCTGAGAATGTTTCTGTCTAGTGGTTATGGGAAGATATTTGCTTTTTCACCGTAGGCCTCAGAGCGCTCCAAATATCCCCTTGCACATACTACAAAAAGAGTGCTTCAAAGCTGCTCTCTGAAAGGGAATGTTCAACTCTATGAGTTGAATGCAAACATCACAAAGACGTTTCTGAGAATGCTTCTGTCTAGATTTGATATGAAGATATTCCCGGTTCCAACGAAATCTTCAAATCTATCCAAATGTCCACTTGCAGATTCAACAAAAAGTGTTTTTCAAAACTGCTGTATCAAAAGAAAGATCCACGTCTGTTAGCTGAGTTCACACATCACAAACAAGTTTATGAGAATGCTTCTGTCTAGTTTTTATTTGAAGATATTTCCTTTCTCACCATAGACCTGAAAGCTTTCCTAATGTTCACTTCCAGATACTACAGAAAGAGTGTTTCAAAACTGCTGTACGAAAGGGAATGTTCAACTCTGTGACTTGAATGCACACATCACAAAGAAGTTTCTGAGGATGCTGCTTTCTACTTTTTATACGTAATCCCGTTTCTAACGAAATCCTCCAAGCTATCCAAATATCCACTTGCAGATTCCACAGAAAGACTGTTTCAAAACTGCTCTGTCAATAGAAAGGTTCAACTCTGTTAGCTGCGTGCATATATCCCAAAGAAGATTCTGAGATTGCTTCTGTCTAGTTTTTATGGGAAGATATTTCCCTTTTCACCATAGGTGTCAACGCGCTCCAAATGTCCACTTCCAGATACTACAAAAAGAGTGTTTCAAACCTACTCTGTGAAAGGGAATATTCAACTCTGTGACTTGAATGCACATATCACAAAGAAGTTTCTGAGAATGCTTCTGTCGAGATTTTATATGAAGATATTCCCTTTTCCAACGAAATCCTGAAATCTATCCAAATATCCCCTCGCAGATTCTACAAAAAGAGTGTTTCAAAACTGCTCTGTAAAAAGAAAGGTTCAACTCTGTTAGTTGAGTACACACATCACAAACAAGTTTCACAGAATGCTTCTTTCTAGCTTGTAGGGGAAGATATTCCCTTTATCACCATGGGCCTCAAACCGTCCGAAACGTCCACTTCCATATACTACAAAAAGAGTGTTTCAAACCTGCTCTATGAAAGGCAACGTTCAACTCTGTGACTTGAATGCAGACATCACAGAGCAGTTTCTGAGAATGCTTCTGTCTAGATTTTATAGGAAGATATTCCCGTTTCCAACGAAATCTTCACAGCTATCCAAATATCCACTTGCAGATTCTACAAAAAGAGTGTATCAAAACTGCTCTGTCAAAAGGCAGGTTCTTCTCTGTTAGGTGAGTGCATACGTCATAAAGGAGTTTCTGAGAATGTTTCTGTCTGGTGGTTATGGGAAGATATTTGCTTTTTCCCCGTACGCCTCAAAGCGCTCCAAATGTCCACTTGCACATACTACAAAAAGAGTGCTTCAAAGCTGCTCTCTGAAAGGGAATGTTCAACTCTATGAGTTGAATGCAAACATCACAACGACGTTTCTGAGAATGCTTCTGTCTAGATTTGATATGAAGATATTCCCGTTTCCAACGAAATCTTCAAATCTATCCAAATGTCCTCTTGCAGATTCAACAAAAAGTGTTTTTCAGAACTGCTCTATCAAAAGAAAGATCCACGTGTGTTAGCTGAGTTCACACATCACAAACAAGTTTATGAGAATGCTTCTGTCTAGTTTTTATTTGAAGATATTTCCTTTCTCACCATACACCTGAAAGCTGTCCTAATGTTCACTTCCAGATACTACAGAAAGAGTGTTTCAAAACTGCTGTACGAAAGGGAATGTTCAACTCTGTGACTTGAATGCACACATCACAAAGAAGTTTCTGAGGATGCTGCTGGCTACTTTTTATACGTAATCCCGTTTCCAACGAAATCCTCCAAGCTATCCAAATATCCACTTGCAGATTCCACAGAAAGACTGTTTCAAAACTGCTCTGTCAATAGAAAGGTTCAACTCTGTTAGCTGCGTGCATATATCCCAAAGAAGATTCTGAGATTGCTTCTGTCTAGTTTTTATGGGAAGATATTTCCCTTTTCACCGTAGTTGTCAAGGCGCTCCAAATGTCCACTTCCAGATACTACAAAAAGAGTGTTTCAAACCTACTCTGTGAAAGGGAATATTCAACTCTGTGACTTGAATGCACATATCACAAAGAAGTTTCTGAGAATGCTTCTGTCGAGAATTTTATATGAAGATATTCCCCTTTCCAACGAAATCCTGAAATCTATCCAAATATCCCCTCGCAGATTCTACAAAAAGAGTGTTTCAAAACTGCTCTGTAAAAAGAAAGGTTCAACTCTGTTAGTTGAGTACACACCTCACAAACAAGTTTCACAGAATGCTTCTTTCTAGCTTGTAGGGGAAGATATTCCCTTTATCACCATGGTCCTCAAACCGTCCGAAACGTCCACTTCCATATACTACAAAAAGAGCGTTTCAAACCTGCTCTAGGAAAGGCAATGTTCAACTCTGTGACTTGAATGCAGACATCACAGAGTAGTTTCTGAGAATGCTTCTGTCTAGATTTTATAGGAAGATATTCCCGTTTCCAACGAAATATTCACAGCTATCCAAATATCCACTTGCAGATTCTACAAAAAGAGTGTATCAAAACTGCTCTGTCAAAAGGAAGGTTCTTCCTCTGTTAGGTGAGTGCATACGTCATAAAGGAGTTTACTGAGAATGTTTTCTGTCTAGTGGTTATGGGAAGATATTTGCTTTTTCACCGTAGGCCTCAGAGCGCTCCAAATATCCACTTGCACATACTACAAAAAGAGTGCTTCAAAGCTGGTCTCTGAAACGGAATGTTCAACTCTATGAGTTGAATGCAAACATCACAAAGACGTTTCTGAGAATGCTTCTGTCTAGATTTGATATGAAGATATTCCCGTTTCCAATGACATCTTCAAATCTATCCAAATGTCCACTTGCAGATTCAACAAAACGTGTTTTTCAGAACTGCTCTATCAAAAGAAAGATCCACCTCTGTTAGCTGAGTTCACACATCACAAACAAGTTTATGAGAATGCTTCTGTCTAGTTTTTATTTGAAGATATATCCTTTCTCACTATAGACCTGAAAGCTCTCATAAAGTTCACTTCCAGATACTACAGAAAGAGTGTTTCAAAAATGCTGTACGAAAGGGAATGTTCAACTCTGTGACTTGAATGCACACATCACAAGGAAGTTTCTGAGGATGCTGCTGTCTACTTTTTATACCGTAATCCCGTTTCCAACGAAATCCTCCAAGCTATCCAAATATCCACTTGCAGATTCCACAGAAAGACTGTTTCAAAACTGCTCTGTCAATAGAAAGGTTCAACTCTATTAGCTGCGTACATATATCCCAAAGAAGATTCTGAGATTGCTTCTGTCTAGTTTTTATGGGAAGATATTTCCCTTTTCACCGTAGGCGTCAAGGCGCTCCAAATATCCACTTCCAGATACTACAAAAAGAGTGTTTCAAACCTACTCTATGAAAGCGAATATTCAACTCTGTGACTTGAATACACATATCACAAAGAAGTTTCTGAGAATGCTTCTGTCGAGATTTTATATGAAGATATTCCCGTTTCCAACGAAATCCTGAAATCTATCCAAATATCCCCTCGCAGATTCTACAAAAAGAGTGTTTCAAAAGTGCTCTGTAAAAAGAAAGGTTCAACTCTGTTAGTTGAGTACACACATCACAAACAAGTTTCAGAGAATGCTTCTTTCTAGCTTGTAGGGGAAGATATTCCCTTTATCACCATGGGCCTCAAACCGTCCGAAAAGTCCACTTCCATATACTACAAAAAGAGCGTTTCAAACCTGCTCTATGAAAGGCAATGTTCAACTCTGTGACTTGAATGCAGACATCACAGAGCAGTTTCTGAGAATCCTTCTGTATAGATTTTATAGGAAGATATTCCCGTTTCCAACGAAATCTTCACAGCTATCCAAATATCCACTTGCAGATTCTACAAAAAGAGTGTATCAAAACTGCTCTGTCAAAAGGAAGGTTCTTCTCTGTTAGGTGAGTGCATACGTCATAAAGGAGTTTCTGAGAATGTTTCTGTCTAGTGGTTATGGGAAGATATTTGCTTTTTCACCGTAGGCCTCAGAGCGCTCCAAATATCCACTTGCACATACTACAAAAAGAGTGTTTCAAAGCTGCTCTCTGAAAGGGAATGTTCAACTCTATGAGTTGAATGCAAACATGACAAAGACGTTTCTGAGAATGCTTTCTGTCTAGATTTGATATGAAGATATTCCCGTTTCCAAAGAAATCTTCAAATCTATCCAAATGTCCACTTGCAGATTCAACAAAGTGTTTTTCAGAACTGCTCTATCAAAAGAAAGATCCACCTCTGTTAGCTGAGATCACACTTCACAAACAAGTTTATCAGAATGCTTCTGTCTAGCTTTTATTTGAAGATATATCCTTTCTCACTATAGACCTGAAAGCTCTCCTAAAGTTCACTTCCAGATACTACAGAAAGAGTGTTTCAAAACTGCTGTAGGAAAGGGAATGTTCAACTCTGTGACTTGAATGCACACATCACAAGGATGTTTCTGAGGATGCTGCTGTCTACTTTTTATACTTAATCCCGTTTCCAACGAAATCCTCCAAGCTATCCAAATATCCACTTGCAGATTCCACAGAAAGACTGTTTCAAAACTGCTCTGTCAATAGAAAGGTTCAACTCTGTTAGCTGCGTGCATATATCCCAAAGAAGATTTCTGAGATTGCTTTCTGTCTACTTTTTATGAGAAGATATTTCCCTTTTCACCGTAGGCATCAAGGCGCTCCAAAAGTCCACTTCCAGATACTACAAAAAGTGTGTTTCAAACCTACTCTGTGTAAGGGAATATTCAACTCTGTGACTTGAATGCACATATCACAACGAAGCTTCTGAGAATGCTTCTGTCGAGATTTTATATGAAGATATTCCCGTTTCCAACGAAATCCTGAAATCTATCCAAATATCCGCTCGCAGATTCTACAAAAAGAGTGTTTCAAAACTGCTCTGTGAAAAGAAAGGTTCAACTCTGTTAGTTGAGTACACACATCACAAACAAGTTTCACAGAATGCTTCTTTCTAGCTTGTAGGGGAAGATATTCCCTTTATCACCATGGGACTCCAACCGTCCGAAACATCCACTTCCATATACTACAAAAAGAGCGTTTCAAACCTGCTCTATGAAAGGCAATGTTGAACTCTGTGACTTGAATGCAGACATCACAGAGCAGTTTCTGAGAATGCTTCTGTCTAGATTTTATAGGAAGATATTCCCGTTTCCAACGAAATCTTCACAGCTATCCAAATATCCACTTTCAGATTCTACAAAAAGAGTGTATCAAAAGTGGTCTGTCAAAAGGAAGGTTCTTCTCTGTTAGGTGAGTGCATACGTCATAAAGGAGTTTCTGAGAATGTTTCTGTGTAGTGGTTATGGGAAGATATTTGCTTTTTCACCGTAGGCCTCAGAGCGCTCCAAATATCCACTTGCACATACTACAAAAAGAGTGCTTCAAAGCTGCTCTCTGAAACGGAATGTTCAACTCTATGAGTTGAATGCAAACATCACAAAGACGTTTCCAAGAATGCTTCTGTCTAGATTTGATATGAAGATATTCCCGTTTCCAAGGAAATCTTCAAATCTATCCAAATGTCCACTTGCAGATTCAACAAAAAGTGTTTTTCAAAACTGCTGTATCAAAAGAAAGATCCACGTCTGTTAGCTGAGTTCACACATCACAAACAAGTTTATGAGAATGCTTCTGTCTAGTTTTTATTTGAAGATATTTCCTTTCTCACCATAGGAGCTGAAAGCTGTCCTAATGTTCACTTCCAGATACTACAGAAAGAGTGTTTCAAAACTGCTGTACGAAAGGGAATGTTCAACTCTGTGACTTGAATGCACACATCACAAAGAAGTTTCTGAGGATGCTGCTGTCTACTTTTTATACATAATCCCGTTTCCAACGAAATCCTCCAAGCTATCCAAATATCCACTTGCAGATTCCACAGAAAGACTGTTTCAAAACTGCTCTGTCAAAAGAAAGGTTCAACTCTGTTAGCTACGTGCATATATCCCAAAGAAGATTCTGAGATAGCTTCTGTCTAGTTTTGATGGGAAGATATTTCCCTTTTCACCGTAGGTGTCAAGGCGCTCCAAATGTCCACTTCCAGATACTACAAAAAGAGTGTTTCAAACCTACTCTGTGAAAGGGAATATTCAACTCTGTGACTTGAATGCACATATCACAAGGAAGTTTCTGAGAATGCTTCTGTCGAGATTTTATATGAAGATATTCCCGTTTCCAACGAAATCTTCAAATCTATCCAAATGTCCACTTGCAGATTCAACAAAAAGTGTTTTTCAGAACTGCTCTATCAAAAGAAAGATCCACCTCTGTTAGCTGAGTTCACACATCACAAACAAGTTGATGAGAATGCTTCTTTCTAGCTTGTAGGGGAAGATATTCCCTTTATCACCATGGGCCTCAAACCGTCCGAAACGTCCACTTCCATATACTACACAAAGAGCGTTTCAAACCTGCTCTAGGAAAGGCAATGTTCAACTCTGTGACTTGAATGCAGACATCACAGAGCAGTTTCTGAGAATGCTTCTGTCTAGATTTTATAGGAAGATATTCCCGTTTCCAACGAAATCTTCACAGCTATCCAAATATCCACTTGCAGATTCTACAAAAAGAGTGTATCAAAACTGCTCTGTCAAAAGGAAGGTTCTTCTCCGTTAGTTGAGTACATACGTCATAAAGGAGTTTCTGAGAATGTTCCTGTCTAGGGGATATGGGAAGATATTTGCTTTTTCCCCGTAGACCTCAAAGCGCTCCAAATGTCCACTTGCACATACTACAAAAAGAGTGCTTCAAAGCTGCTCTCTGAAAGGGAATGTTCAACTGTATGAGCTGAATGCTACCATCACAAAGACGTTTCTGAGAATGCTTCTGTCTAGATTTGATATGAAGATATTCCCGTTTCCAAAGAAATCTTCAAATCTATCCAAATGTCCACTTGCAGATTCAACAAAAAGTGTTTTTCAGAACTGCTCTATCAAAAGAAAGATCCACGTGTGTTAGCTGCGTTCACACATCACAAACAAGTTTATGAGAATGCTTCTGTCTAGTTTTTATTTGAAGATATTTCCTTTCTCACCATAGACCTGAAAGCTGTCCTAATGTTCACTTCCAGTTACTACAGAAAGAGTGTTTCAAAACTGCTGTACGAAAGGGAATGTTCAACTCTGTGACTTGAATGCACACATCACAAAGAAGTTTCTGAGGATGCTGCTGTCTAATTTTTACACGTAATCCCGTTTCCAACGAAATCCTCCAAGCTATCCAAATATCCACTTGCAGATTCCACAGAAAGACTGTTTCAAAACTGCTCTGTCAATAGAAAGGTTCAACTCTGTTAGCTGCGTGCAAATATCCCAAAGAAGTTTCTGAGATTGCTTCTGTCTAGTTTTTATGGGAAGATATTTCCCTTTTCACCGTAGGCGTCAAGGCGCTCCAAATGACCACTTCCAGATACTACAAAAAGAGTGTTTCAAACCTACTCTGTGAAAGGGAATATTCAACTCTGTGACTTGAATGCACATATCACAAGGAAAGTTTCTGAGAATGCTTCTGTCGAGATTTTATATTAAGATATTCCGGTTTCCAACAAAATCCTGAAATCTATCCAAATATCCCCTCGCAGATTCTACAAAAAGAGTGTTTCAAAACTGCTCTGTAAAAAGAAAGGTTCAACTCTGTTAGTTGAGTACACACATCACAAACAATTTTCACAGAATGCTTCTTTCTAGCTTGTAGGGGAAGTATATTCCCTTTATCACCATGGGCCTCAAACCGTCCGAAACGTCCACTTCCATATACTACAAAAAGAGCGTTTCAAACCTGCTCTATGAAAGGCAATGTTCAGCTCTGTGACTTGAATGCAGACATCACAGAGCAGTTTCTGAGAATGCTTCTGTCCGGACTTTATAGGAAGATATTCCCGATTCCAACGAAATCTTCACAGCTATCCAAATATCCACTTGCAGATACTACAAAAAGAGTGTATCAAAAATGCTCTGTCAAGAGGACAGTTCTTCTCTGCTAGTTCAGTACATACGTCATAAAGAAGTTTCTGAGAATGTTTCAGTCTAGTGGTTATGGGAAGATATTTGCTTTTTCACCGTAGGCCTCAGAGCGCTCCAAATATCCACTTGCACATACTACAAAAAGAGTGTTTCAAAGCTGCTCTCTGAAAGGGAATGTTCAACTCTATGAGTTGAATGCAAACATGACAAAGACGTTTCTGAGAATGCTTCTGTCTAGATTTGATATGAAGATATTCCCGTTACCAACGAAATCTTCAAATCTATCCAAATGTCCACTTGCAGATTCAACAAAAAGTGTTTTTCAGAACTGCTCTATCAAAAGAAAGATCCACCTCTGTTAGCTGAGTTCACACATCACAAACAAGTTTATGAGAATGCTTCTGTCTAGTTTTTATTTGAAGATATTTCCTTTCTCACCATAGACCTGAAAACTGTCCTAATGTTCACTTGCAGATACTACAGAAAGAGTGTTTCACAACTGCTGTACGAAAGGGAATGTTCAACTCTGTGACTTGAATGCACACATCACAAAGAAGTTTCTGAGGATGCTGCTGTCTACTTTTTATACGTAATCCCGTTTCCAACGAAATCCTCCAGGCTATCCAAATATCCACTTGCAGATTCCACAGAAAGACTGTTTCAAAACTGCTCTGTCAATAGAAAGGTTCAACTCTGTTAGCTGCATGCATATATCCCAAAGAAGATTCTGAGATTGCTTCTGTCTAGTTTTTATGGGAAGATATTTCCCTTTTCACCGTAGGCGTCAAGGTGCTCCAAATGTCCACTTCCAGATATTACAAAAAGAGTGTTTCAAACCTACTCTGTGAAAGGGAATATTCAACTCTGTGACTTGAATGCACATATCACAAAGAAGTTTCTGAGAATGCTTCTGTCGAGATTTTATATGAAGATATTCCCGTTTCCAACGAAATCCTGAAATCTATCCAAATATCCCCTCGCAGATTCTACAAAAAGAGTGTTTCAAAACTGTTCTGTAAAAAGAAAGGTTCAACTCTGTTAGTTGAGTACACACATCACAAACAAGTATCACAGAATGCTTCTTTCTAGCTTGTAGGGGAAGATATTCCCTTTATCACCATGGTCCTCAAACCGTCCGAAACGTCCTCTTCCATATAGTACAAAAAGAGCGTTTCTAACCTGCTCTATGAAAGTCAATGTTCAACTCTGTGACTTGAATGCACACATCACAGAGCAGTTTCTGAGAATGCTTCTGTCTAGATTATATAGGAAGATATTCCCGTTTCCAACGAAATCTTCACAGCTATCCAAATATCCACTTGCAGATTCTACAAAAAGAGTGTATCAAAACTGCTCTGTCAAAAGGAAGGTTCTTCTCTGTTAGTTGAGATGACATACGTCATAAGAGGAGTTTCTGAGAATGTTTCTGTCTAGTGGTTATGGGAAGATATTTGCTCTTTCACCGTAGGCCTCAGAGCGCTCCAAATATCCACTTGCACATACTACAAAAAGAGTGCCTCAAAGCTGCTCTCTGAAACGGAGTGTTCAACTCTATGAGTTGAATGCAAACATCGCAAAGACGTTTCTGAGAATGCTTCTGTCTAGATTTGATATGAAGATATTCCCGTTTCCAACGAAATCTTCAAATCTATCCAAATGTCCACTTGCAGATTCAACAAAAAGTGTTTTTCAGAACTGCTCTATCAAAAGAAAGGTCCACCTCTGTTAGCTGAGTTCACACATCACAAACAAGTTTATGAGAATGCTTCCGTCTAGTTTTTATTTGAAGATATATCCTTTCTAACTATAGACCTGAAAGCTGTCCTAAAGTTCACTTCCAGATACTACAGAAAGAGTGTTTCAAAACTGCTGTACGAAAGGGAATGTTCAACTCTGTGACTTGAATGCACACATCACAAGGATGTTTACTGAGGATGCTGCTGTCTACTTTTTATACGTAATCCCGTTTCCAACGAAATCCTCCAAGCTATCCAAATATCCACTTGCAGATTCCACAGAAAGACTGTTTCAAAACTGCTCTGTCAATAGAATGGTTCAACTCTGTTAGCTGCGTGCATATATCCCAAAGAAGATTCTGAGATTGCTTCTGTCTAGTTTTGATGGGAAGATATTTCCCTTTTCACCGTAGGCGTCAAGGCGCTCCAAATGACCACTTCCAGATACTACAAAAAGAGAGTTTCAAACCTACTCTGTGAAAGGGAATATTCAACTCTGTGACTTGAATGCACATATCACAAGGAAGTTTCTGAGAATGCTTCTGTCGAGATTTTATATGAAGATATTCCCGTTTCCAACGAAATCCTGAAATCTATCCAAATATCCCCTCGCAGATTCTACAAAAAGAGTGTTTCAAAACTGCTCTGTAAAAAGAAAGGTCCAACTCTGTTAGTTGAGTACACACATCACAAACAAGTTTCACAGAATGCTTCTTTCTAGCTTGTAGGGGAAGATATTCCCTTTATCACCATGGGCCTCAAACCGTCCGAAACGTCTACTTCCATATACTACAAAAAGAGCGTTTCAAACCTACTCTATGAAAGGCAATGTTCAACTCTGTGACTTGAATGCAGACATCACAGAGCAGTTTCTGAGAATGCTTCTGTCTGGATTTTATAGGAAGATATTCCCGTTTCCAATGAAATCTTCACAGCTATCCAAATATCCACTTGCAGATTCTACAAAAAGAGTGTATCAAAACTGCTCTGTCAAAAGGAAGGTTCTTCTCTGTTAGTTGAGTACATACGTCATAAAGGAGTTTCTGAGAATGTTTCTGTCTAGTGGTTATGGGAAGATATTTGCTTTTTCACCTTAGGCCTCAGAGCGCTCCAAATATCCCCTTGCACATACTACAAAAAGAGTGCTTCAAAGCTGCTCTCTGAAAGGGAATGTTCAACTCTATGAGTTGAATGCAAACATCACAAAGACGTTTCTGAGAATGCCTATCTGTCTAGATTTGATATGAAGATATTCCCGTTTCCAAAGAAATCTTCAAATCTATCCAAATGTCCACTTGCAGATTCAACAAAAAGTGTTTTTCAGAACTGCTCTATCAAAAGAAAGATCCACCTCTGTTAGCTGAGTTAACACATCACAAACAAGTTTATGAGAATGCTTCTGTCTAGTTTTTATTTGAAGGTATTTCCTTTCTCACCCTAGACCTGAAAGCTGTCCTAATGTTCACTTCCAGATACTACAGAAAGAGTGTTTCAAAACTGCTGTACGAAAGGGAATGTTCAACTGCTGTGACTTGAATGCACACATCACAAAGAAGTTTCTGAGGATGCTGCTGTCTAATTTTTATACGTAATCCCGTTTCCAACGAAATCCTCCAAGCTATCCAAATATCCACTTACAGATTCCACAGAAAGACTGTTTCAAAACTGCTCTGTCAATAGAAAGGTTCAACTCTGTTAGCTGCGTGCATATATCCCAAAGAAGATTCTGAGATTGCTTCTGTCTAGTTTTTATGGGAAGATATTTCCCTTTTCACCGTAGGTGTCAAGGCGCTCCAAATGTCGACTTCCAGATACTACAAAAAGAGTGTTTCAAACCTACTCTGTGAAAGGGAATATTCAACTCTGTGACTTGAATGCACATATCACAAGGAAGTTTCTGAGAATGCTTCTTTCGAGATTTTATATGAAGATATTCCCGTTTCCAACGAAATCCTGAAATCTATCCAAATATCCCCTCGCAGATTCTACAAAAAGAGTGTTTCAAAACTGCTCTGTAAAAAGAAAGGTTCAAATCTATTAGTTGAGTACACACATCACAAACAAGTTTAACAGAATGCTTCTTTCTAGCTTGTAGGGGAAGATTCCCCTTTATCACCATGGTCCTCAAACCGTCCGAAAAGTCCACTTCCATATACTACAAAAAGAGCATTTCAAACCTGCTGTATGAAAGGCAATGTTCAACTCTGTGACTTGAATGCAGACATCACAGAGCAGTTTCTGAGAATGCTTCTGTCTAAATTTTATAGGAAGATATTCCCGTTTCCAACGAAATCTTCACAGCTATCCAAATATCCACTTGCAGATTCTACAAAAAGAGTGTATCAAAACTGCTCTGTCAAAAGGAAGGTTCTTTTCTGTTAGGTGAGTGCATACGTCATAAAGGAGTTTCTGAGAATGCTTCTGTCTAGTGGTTATGGGAAGATATTTGCTTTTTCACCGTAGGCCTCAGAGCGCTCCAAATATCCACTTGCACATACTACAAAAAGAGTGCCTCAAAGCTGCTCTCTGAAACGGAATGTTCAACTCTATGAGTTGAATGCAAACATCGCAAAGACGTTTCGGAGAATGCTTCTGTCTAGATTTGATATGAAGATATTCCCGTTTCCAACGAAATCTTCAAATCTATCCAAATGTCCACTTGCAGATTCAACAAAAAGTGTTTTTCAGAACTGCTCTATCAAAAGAAAGATCCATCTCTGTTAGCTGAGTTCACACATCGCAAACAAGTTTATGAGAATGCTTCTGTCTAGTTTTTATTTGAAGATATTTCCTTTCTCACCATAGAGCTGAAAGCTGTCCTAATGTTCACTTCCAGATACTACAGAAAGAGTGTTTCAAAACTGCTGTACGAAAGGGAATGTTCAACTCTGTGACTTGAATGCACACATCACAAAGAAGTTTCGGAGGATGCTGCTGTCTACTTTTTATGCGTAATCCCGTTTCCAACGAAATCCTCCAAGCTATCCAAATATCCACTTGCAGATTCCACAGAAAGACTGTTTCAAAACTGGTCTGTCAATAGAAAGGTTCAACTCTGTTAGCTGCGTGCATATATCCCAAAGAAGATTCTGAGATTGCTTCTGTCTAGTTTTTATGGGAAGATATTTCCCTTTTCACCGTAGGTGTCAAGGAGCTACAAATGTCCACTTCCAGATACTACAAAAAGAGTGTTTCAAACCTACTCTGTGAAAGGGAATATTCAACTCTGTGACTTGAGTGCACATATCACAAAGAAGTTTCAGAGAATGCTTCTGTCGAGATTTTCTATGAAGATATTCCCGTTTCCAACGAAATCCTGAAATCTATCCAAATATCCCCTCGCAGATTCTACAAAAAGAGTGTTTCAAAACTGCTCTGTAAAAAGAAAGGTTCAACTCTGTTAGTTGAGTACACACATCACAAACAAGTTTCACAGAATGCTTCTTTCTAGCTTGTAGGGAAAGATATTTCCCTTTAACACCATGGGCCTCAAACCGTCCGAAACGTCCACTTCCATATACTACAAAAAGAGCGTTTCAAACCTGCTCTAGGAAAAGCAATGTTCAACTCTGTGACTTGAATGCAGACATCACAGAGCAGTTTCTGAGAATGCTTCTGTCTAGATTTTATAGGAAGATATTCCCGTTTCCAACGAAATCTTCACAGCTATCCTAATATCCACTTGCAGATTCTACAAAAAGAGTGTATCCAAACTACTCTGTCAAAAGGAAGGTTCTTCTCTGTTAGGTGAGTGCATACGTCATAAAGGAGTTTCTGAGAATGTTTCTGTCTAGTGGTTATGGGAAGATATTTGCTTTTTCACCGTAGGCCTCACAGCGCTCCAAATATCCACTTGCACATACTACAAAAAGAGGTGCTTCAAAGCTGCTCTCTGAAAGGGAATGTTCAACTCTATGAGTTGAATGCAAACATCACAAAGACGTTTCTGAGAATGCTTCTGTCTACATTTGATATGAAGATATTCCCGTTTCCAACGAAATCTTCAAATCTATCCAAATGTCCACTTGCAGATTCAACAAAAAGTGTTTTTCAGAACTGCTCTATCAAAAGAAAGATCCACCTCTGTTAGCTGAGTTCACACATCACAAACAAGTTTATGAGAATGCTTCTGTCTTGTTTTTATTTGAAGATATTTCCTTTCTCACCATAGACCTGAAAGCTGTCCTAATGTTCACTTCCAGATACTACAGAAAGAGTGTTTCAAAACTGCTGTACGAAAGGGAATGTTCAACTCTGTGACTTGAATGCACACATCACAAAGAAGTTTCTGAGGATGCTGCTGTCTACTTTTTATACGTAATCCCGTTTCCAACGAAATCCTCCAAGCTATCCAAATATCCACTTGCAGATTCCACAGAAAGACTGTTTCAAAACTGCTCTGTCAATAGAAAGGTTCAACTCTATTAGCTGCGTACATATATCCCAAAGAAGATTCTGAGATTGCTTCTGTCTAGTTTTTATGGGAAGATATTTCCCTTTTCTCCGTAGGCGTCAAGGCGCTCCAAATGTCCACTTCCAGATACTACAAAAAGAGTGTTTCAAACCTACTCTGTGAAAGGGAATATTCAACTCTGTGACTTGAATGCACATATCACAAAGAAGTTTCTGAGAATGCTTCTGTCGAGATTTTATATGAAGATATTCCCGTTTCCAACGAAATCCTGAAATCTATCCAAATAACCCCTCGCAGATTCTACAAAAAGAGTGTTTCAAAACTGCTCTGTAAAAAGAAAGGTTCAACTCTGTAAGATGAGTACACACACCACAAACAAGTTTCACAGAATGCTTCTTTCTAGCTGGTAGGGGAAGATATTCCCTTTATCACCATGGGCCTCAAACCGTCCGAAACGTCCACTTCCATATACTACAAAAAGAGGGTTTCAAACCTGCTCTATGAAAGGCAATGTTCAACTCTGTGACTTGAATGCAGACATCACAGAGCAGTTTCTGAGAATGCTTCTGTCCAGACTTTATAGGAAGATATTCCCGTTTCCAACGAAATCTTCACAGCTATCCAAATATCCACTTGCAGATAGTACAACAAGAGTGTATCAAAAATGCTCTGTCAAAAGGAAAGTTCTTCTCTACTAGTTGAGTACATACGTCATAAAGAAGTTTCTGAGAATGTTTCTGTCTAGTGGTTATGGGAAGATATTTGCTTTTTCACCTTAGGCCTCAGAGCGCTCAAAATATCCCCTTGCACATACTACAAAAAGAGCGCTTCAAAGCTGCTCTCTGAAACGGAATCTTCAACTCTATGGGTTGAATGCAAACATCACAAACACGTTTCTGAGAATGCTTCTGTCTAGATTTGATATGAAGATATTCCCGTTTCCAACGAAATCTTCAAATCTATCCAAATGTCCACTTGCAGATTCAACAAAAAGTGTTTTTCAGAACTGCTCTATCAAAAGAAAGATCCACCTCGGTTAGCTGAGTTCACACATCACAAACAGGTTTATGAGAATGCTTCTATCTAGTTTTTATTTGAAGATATTGCCTTTCTCACCATAGACCTGAAAGCTGTCCTAATGTTCACTTCCAGATACTACAGAAAGAGTGTTTCAAAACTGCTGTACGAAAGGGAATGTTCAACTCTGTGACTTGAATGCACACATCACAAAGTAGTTTCTGAGGATGCTGCTGTCTACTTTTTATACGTAATGACGTTTCCAACGAAATCCTCCAAGCTATCCAAATATCCACTTGCAGATTCCACAGAAAGACTGTTTCAAAACTGCTCTGTCAATAGAAAGGTTCAACTCTGTTAGCTGCGTGCATATATCCCAAAGAAGATTCTGAGATTGCTTCTGTCTAGTTTTTATGGGAAGATATTTCCCTTTTCACCGTAGGTGTCAAGGCGCTCCAAATGTCCACTTCCAGATACTACAAAAAGAGTGTTTCAAACCTACCCTGTGAAAGGGAATATTCAACTCTGTGACTTGAATGCAGATATCACAATGAAGTCTCTGAGAATGCTTCTGTCGAGATTTTATATGAAGATATTCCCGTTTCCAACGAAATCCTGAAATCTATCCAAATATCCCCTCGCAGATTCTACAAAGGGTGTTTCAAAACTGCTCTGTAAAAAGAAAGGTTCAACCCTGTTAGTTGAGTACACACATCACAAACAAGTTTCACAGAATGCTTCTTTCTAGCTTGTAGGGGAAGATATTCCCTTTATCACCATGGGCCTCAAACCGTCCGAAACGTCCACTTCCACATACTACAAAAAGAGCGTATCATACCTGCTCTATGAAAGGCAATGTTGAACTCTGTGACTTGAATGCAGACATCACAGAGCAGTTTCTGAGAATGCTTCTGTCTAGATTTTATAGGAAGATATTCCCGTTTCCAACGAAATCTTCACAGCTATCCAAATATCCACTTGCAGATTCTACCAAAAGAGTGTATGAAAACTGCTCTGTCAAAAGAAAGGTTCTTCTCTGTTAGGTGAGTGCATACGTCATAAACGGAGTTTCTGAGAATGTTTCTGTCTAGTGGTTATGGGAAGATATTTGCTTTTTCACCGTAGGCCTCAGAGCGCTCCAAATATCCACTTGCACATACTACAAAAAGAGTGCCTCAAAGCTGCTCTCTGAAACGGAATGTTCAACTCTATGAGTTGAATGCAAACATCGGAAAGACGTTTCTGAGAATGCTTCTGTCTAGATTTGATATGAAGATATTCCCGTTTCCAACGAAATCTTCAAATCTATCCAAATGTCCACTTGCAGATTCAACAAAAAGTGTTTTTCAGAACTGCTGTATCAAAAGAAAGATCCACCTCTGTTAGCTGAGTTCACACATCACAAACAAGTTTATGAGAATGCTTCTGTCTAGTTTTTATTTGAAGATATTTCCTTTCTCACCATAGACCTGAAAGCTGTCCTAATGTTCACTTCCAGATACTACAGAAAGAGTGTTTCAAAACTGCTGTGGGAAAGGGAATGTTCAACTCTGTGACTTGAATGCACACATCACAAAGAAGTTTCTGAGGATGCTGCTGTCTACTTTTTATACTTAATCCCGTTTCCAACGAAATCCTCCAAGCTATCCAAATATCCACTTGCAGATTCCACAGAAAGACTGTTTCAAAACTACTCTGTCAATAGAAAGGTTCAACTCTGTTAGCTGCGTGCATATATCCCAAAGAAGATTCTGAGATTGCTTCTGTCTAGTTTTTATGGAAGATATTTCCCTTTTCACCGTAGGCGTCAAGGCGCTCCAAATGTCCACTTCCAGATACTACAAAAAGAGTGTTTCAAACCTACTCTGTGAAAGGGAATATTCAACTCTGTGACTTGAATGCAGATATCACAAAGAAGTTTCTGAGAATGCTTCTGTCGAGATTTTATATGAAGATATTCCCGTTTCCAACGAAATGCTGAAATGTATCCAAATATCCCCTCGCAGATTCTACAAAAAGAGTGTTTCAAAACTGCTCTGTAAAAAGAGAGGTTCAACTCTGTTAGTTGAGTACACACATCACAAACAAGTTTCACAGAATGCTTCTTTCTAGCTTGTAGGGGAAGATATTCCCTTTATCACCATGGGCCTCAAACCGTCCGATAAGTCCACTTCCATATACTACAAAAAGAGCGTTTCAAACCTGCTCTATGAAAGGCAATGTTCAACTCTGTGACTTGAATGCAGACATCCCAGAGCAGTTTCTGAGAATGCTTCTGTCTAGATTTTATAGGAAGATATTCCCGTTTCCAACGAAATCTTCACAGGTATCCAAATATCCACTTGCAGATTCTACAAAAAGAGTGTATCAAAACTGCTCTGTCAAAAGGAAGGTTCTTCTCTGTTAGGTGAGTGCATACGTCATAAAGGAGTTTCTGAGAATGTTTCTGTCTAGTGGTTATGGGAAGATATTTGCTTTTTCACCGTAGGCCTCAGAGCGCTCCAAATATCCACTTGCACATACTACAAAAAGAGTGCTTCAAACCTGCTCTCTGAAACGGAATGTTCAACTCTATGAGTTGAATGCAAACATCACAAAGACGTTTTCTGAGAATGCTTCTGTCTAGATTTGATATGAAGATATTCCCGTTTGGAACGAAATCTTCAAATCTATCCAAATGTCCACTTGCAGATTCAACAAAAAGTGTTTTTCAGAACTGCTCTATCAAAAGAAAGATCCACCTCTGTTAGCTGAGTTCACACATCACAAACAAGTTTATGAGAATGCTTCTGTCTAGTTTTTATTTGAAGGTATTTCCTTTCTCACCATCGACCTGAAAGCTGTCCTAATGTTCACTTCCAGATACTACAGAAAGAGTGTTTCAAAACTGCTGTACGAAAGGGAATGTTCAACTCTGTGACTTGAATGCACACATCACAAAGAAGTTTCTGAGGATGGTGCTGTCTACTTTTTATACGTAATCCCGTTTCCAACGAAATCCTCCAAGCTATCCAAATATCCACTTGCAAATTCCACAGAAAGACTGTTTCAAAACTGCTCTGTCAATAGAAAGGTTCAACTCTGTTAGCTGCGTGCATATATCCCAAAGAAGATTCTGAGATTGCTTCTGTCTAGTTTTTATGGGAAGATATTTCCCTTTTCACCGTAGGTGTCAAGGCGCTCCAAATGTCCACTTCCAGATACTACAAAAAGAGTGTTTCAAACCTACTCTGTGAAAGGGAATATTCAACTGCTGTGACTTAAAGGCAGATATCACAAAGAAGTTTCTGAGAATGCTTCTGTCGAGATTTTATATGAAGATATTCCCGTTTCCAACGAAATGCTGAAATGTATCCAAATATCCCCTCGCAGATTCTACAAAAAGAGTGTTTCAAAACTGCTCTGTAAAAAGAAAGGTTCAACTCTGTTAGTTGAGTACACACATCACAAACAAGTTTCACACAATGCTTCTTTTTAGCTTGTAGGGGAAGATATTCCCTTTATCACCATGGGCCTCAAACCGTCCGAAACGTCCACTTCCATATACTACAAAAAGAGCGTTTCAAACCTGCTCTATCAAAGGCAATGTTCAACTCTGTGACTTGAATGCAGACATCACAGAGCAGTTTCTGAGAATGCTTCTGTCTAGATTTTATAGGAAGATATTCCCGTTTCCAACGAAATCTTCACAGCTATCCAAATATCCACATGCAGATTCTACAAAAAGAGTGTATCAAAACTGCTCTGTCAAAAGGAAGGTTCTTCTCTGTTAGGTGAGTGCATACGTCATAAAGGAGTTTCTGAGAATGTTTCTGTCTAGTGGTTATGGGAAGATATTTGCTTTTTCCCCGTAGGCCTCAGGGCGCTCCAAATGTCCACTTGCACATGCTACAAAAAGAGTGCTTCAAAGCTGCTCTCTGAAAGGGAATGTTCAACTCTATGAGTTGAATGCAAACATCACAAAGACGTTTCTGAGAATGCTGTCTGTCTAGATTTGATATGAAGATATTCCCGTTTCCAACGAAATCTTCAAATCTATCCAAATGTCCACTTGCAGATTCAACAAAAAGTGTTTTTCAGAACTGCTCTATCAAAAGAAAGATCCACCTCTGTTAGCTGAGTTCACACATCACAAAAAAGTTTATGAGAATGCTTCTGTCTAGTTTTTATTTGAAGATATTTCCTTTCTCACCGTAGTGCTGAAAGCTGTCCTAATGTTCACTTCCAGATACTACAGAAAGAGTGTTTCAAAACTGCTGTACGAAAGGGAATGTTCAACTCTGTGACTTGAATGCACACATCACAAAGAAGTTTCTGAGAATGCTTCTGTCGAGATTTTATATGAAGATATTCCCGTTTCCAACGAAATCCTGAAATCTATCCAAATATCCCCTTGCAGATTCTACAGAAAGAGTGTTTCAAAACTGCTCTCTAAAAAGAAAGGTTCAACTCTGTTAGTTGAGTACAAACATCACAAACAAGTTTCACAGAATGCTTCTGTCTAGTTTTTATGGGAAGATATTTCCCTTTTCACCATAAGTGTCAAGGCGCTCCAAATGTCCACTTCCTGATACTACAAAAAGAGTGTTTCAAACCTACTCTGTGAAAGGGAATATTCAACTCTGTGACTTGAATACACATATCACAAAGAAGTTTCTGAGAATGCTTCTGTCGAGATTTTATATGAAGATATTCCCGTTTCCAACAAAATCCTGAAATCTATACAAATATCCCCTCGCAGATTCTACAAAAAGAGTGTTTCAAAACTGCTCTGTAAAAAGAAAGGTTCAACTCTGTTAGTTGAGTACACACATCACAAACAAGTTTCACAGAATGCTTCTTTCTAGCTTGTAGGGGAAGATATTCCCTTTATCACCATGGGCCTCAAACCGTCCGAAACGTCCACTTTTATATACTACAAAAAGAGCGTTTCAAACCTGCTCTATGAAAGGCAATGTTCAACTCTGTGACTTGAATGCAGACATCACAGAGCAGTTTCTGAGAATGCTTCTGTCTAGATTTTATAGGAAGATATTCCCGTTTCCAAAGAAATCTTCACAGCTATCCAAATATCCACTTGCAGATTCTACAAAAAGAGTGTATCAAAACTGCTCTGTCAAAAGGAAGGTTCTTCTCTGTTAGATGAGTGCATACGTCATAAAGGAGTTTCTGAGAATGTTTCTGTCTAGTGGTTATGGGAAGATATTTGCTTTTTCACCGTAGGCCTCAGAGCGCTCCAACTATCCACTTGCACATACTACAAAAAGAGTGCCTCAAAGCTGCTCTCTGAAATGGAATGTTCAACTCTATGAGTTGAATGCAAACATCACAAAGAAGTTTCTGAGAATGCTTCTGTCTAGATTTGATATGAAGATATTCCCGTTTCCAACGAAATCTTCAAATCTATCCAAATGTCCAATTGCAGATTCAACAAAAAGTGTTTTTCAGATCTGCTCTATCAAAAGAAAGATCCATCTCTGTTAGCTGAGTTCACACATCACAAACAAGTTTATGAGAATGCTTCTGTCTAATTTTTATTTGAAGATATTTCCTTTCTCACCATAGACCTGAAAGCTGTCCTAATGTTCACTTCCAGATACTATAGAAAGAGTGTTTCAAAACTGCTCTACGAAAGGGAATGTTCAACTCTGTGACTTGAATGCACACATCACAAAGAAGTTTCTGAGGATGCTGCTGTCTACTTTTTATACGTAAACCCGTTTCCAACGAAATCCTCCAAGCTATCCAAATATCCACTTGCAGATTCCACAGAAAGACTGTTACAAAACTGCTCTGTCAATAGAAAGGTTCAACTCTGTTAGCTGCGTGCATATATCCCAAAGAAGATTCTGAGATTGCTTCTGTCTAGTTTTTATGGGAAGATATTTCCCTTTTCACCGTGGGCGTCAAGGCGCTCCAAATGTCCACTTCCAGATACTACAAAAAGAGTGTTTCAAACCTACTCTGTGAAAGGGAATATTCAACTCTGTGACTTGAATGCACATATCACAAAGAAGTTTCTGAGAATGCTTCTGTCGAGATTTTATATGAAGATATTCCCGTTTCCAACGAAATGCTGAAATCTATCCAAATATCCCCTCGCAGATTCTACAAAAAGAGTGTTTCAAAACTGCTCTGTAAAAAGAAAGGTTCAACTCTGTTAGTTGAGTACACACATCACAAACAAGTTTCACACAATGGTTCTTTCTAGCTTGTAGGGGAAGATATTCCCTTTATCACCATGGGCCTCAAACCGTCCGAAACGTCCAACTTCCATATACTAGAAAAAGAGCGTTTCAAACCTGCTCTATGAAAGGCAATGTTCAACTCTGTGACTTGAATGCAGACATCACAGAGCAGTTTCTGAGAATGCTTCTGTCTAGATTTTATATTCCCGTTTCCAACAAAATCTTCACAGCTATCCAAATATCCACTTGCAGATTCTACAAAAAGAGTGTATCAAAACTGCTCTGTCAAAAGGAAGGTTCTTCTCTGTTAGTTGAGTACATACGTCATAAAGGAGTTTCTGAGAATGTTTCTGTCTAGTGGTTATGGGAAGATATTTGATTTTTCACCGTAGGCCTCAGAGCGCTCCAAATATCCACTTGCACATACTACAAAAAGAGTGCTTCAAAGCTGCTCTCTGAAAGGGAATGTTCAACTCTATGAGTTGAATGCAAACATCACAAAGACGTTTCTGAGAATTCTTCTGTCTAGATTTGATATGAAGATATTCCCGTTTCCAAGGAAATCTTCAAATCTATCCAAATGTACACTTGCAGATTCAACAAAAAGTGTTTTTCAGAACTGCTCTATCAAAAGAAAGATCCACCTCTGTTAGCTGAGTTCACACATCACAAACAAGTTTATGAGAATGCTTCTGTCTAGTTTTTATTTGAAGATATATCCTTTCTCACTATAGACCTGAAAGCTCTCCTAAAGTTCACTTCCAGATACTACAGAAAGAGTGTTTCAAAACTGCTGTACGAAAGGAAATGTTCAACTCTGTGACTTGAATGCACACATCACAAGGATGTTTCTGAGGATGCTGCTGTCTACTTTTTATACGTAATCCCGTTTCCAACGAAATCCTCCAGGCTATCCAAATATCCACTTGCAGATTCCACAGAAAGACTGTTTGAAATCTGCTCTGTCAATAGAAAAGTTCAACTCTATTAGCTGCGTGCATATATCCCAAAGAAGATTCTGAGATTGCTTCTGTCTAGTTTTTATGAGAAGATATTTCCCTTTTCACCGTAG
Source organism: Homo sapiens (assembly GCF_000001405.40). Taxonomy (NCBI): domain Eukaryota; kingdom Metazoa; phylum Chordata; class Mammalia; order Primates; family Hominidae; genus Homo; species Homo sapiens. Next base: position 12,186,239 of record NC_000021.9, on the reverse strand, counting down.
GCGTCAAGGCGCTCCAAATGTCCACTTCCAGATACTACAAAAAGAGTGTTTTAAACCTACTCTGTGAAAGGGAATATTCAACTCTGTGACTTGAATGCACATATCACAAAGAAGTTTCTGAGAATGCTTCTGTCGAGATTTTATATGAAGATATTCCCGTTTCCAATGAAATCCTGAAATCTATCCAAATATCCCCTCGCAGATTCTACAAAAAGAGTGTTTCAAAACTGCTCTGTAAAAAGAAAGGTTCAACCCTGTTAGTTGAGTACACACATCACAAACAAGTTTCACAGAATGCTTCTTTCTAGCTTGTAGGGGAAGATATTCCCATTATCACCATGGGCCTCAAACCGTCCGAAACGTCCACTTCCATATACTACAAAAAGAGTGTTTCAAACCTGCTCTATGAAAGGCAATGTTCAACTCTGTGACTTGAATGCAGACATCACAGAGCACTTTCTGAGAATGCTTCTGTCTAGATTTTATAGGAAGATATTCCCGTTTCCAACGAAATCTTCACAGCTATCCAAATATCCACTTGCAGATTCTACAAAAAGAGTGTATCAAAACGGCTCTGTCAAAAGGAAGGTTCTTCTCTGTTAGTTGAGTACATACGTCATAAAGGAGTTTATGAGAATGTTTCTGTTTAGTGGTTATGGGAAGATATTTGCATTTTCACCTTAGGCCTCAGAGCGCTCCAAATATCCCCTTGCACATACTACAAAAAGAGTGCTTCAAAGCTGCTCTCTGAAACGGAATGTTCAACTCTATGAGTTGAATGCAAACATGACAAAGACGTTTCCGAGAATGCTTCTGTCTAGATTTGATATGAAGATATTCCCGTTTCCAACGAAATCTTCAAATCTATCCAAATGTCCACTTGCAGATTCAACAAAAAGTGTTTTTCAGTACTTCTCTATCAAAAGAAAGATCCACCTCTGTTAGCTGAGTTCACACATCACAAAAAGTTTATGAGAATGCTTCTGTCTCGTTTTTATTTAAAGATATTTCCTTTCTCACCATAGAGCTGAAAGCTGTCCTAATGTTCACTTCCAGATACTACAGAAAGAGTGTTTCAAAACTGCTGTACGAAAGGGAATGTTCAACTCTGTGACTTGAATGCACACATCACAAAGAAGTTTCTGAGGATGCTGCTGTCTACTTTTTATACTTAATCCCGTTTCCAACGAAATCCTCCAAGCTATCCAAATATCCACTTCCAGATTCCACAGAAAGACTGTTTCAAAACTGCTCTGTCAATAGAAAGGTTCAACTCTGTTAGCTGCGTGCATATATCCCAAAGAAGATTCTGAGATTGCTTCTGTCTAGTTTTTATGGGAAGATATTTCCCTTTTCACCGTAGGCGTCAAGGCGCTCAAAATGTCCACTTCCAGATACTACAAAAAGAGTGTTTCAAACCTACTCTGTGAAAGGGAGTATTCAACTCTGTGACTTGAATACACATATTCCAAAGAAGTTTCTGAGAATGCTTCTGTCGAGATTTTATATGAAGATATTCCCGTTTCCAACGAAATCCTGAAATCTATCCAAATATCCCCTCGCAGATTCTACAAAAAGAGTGTTTCAAAACTGCTCTGTAAAAAGAAAGGTTCAACTCTGTTAGTTGAGTACACACATCACAAGTTTCACAGAATGCTTCTTTCTAGCTTGTAGGGGAATGATATTCCCCTTATCACCATGGGCCTCAAACCGTCCGAAACGTCCACTTCCATATACTACAAAAAGAGCGTTTCAAACCTGCTCTATGAAAGGCAATGTTCAACTCTGTGACTTGAATGCAGACATCACAGAGCAGTTTCTGAGAATGCTTCTGTCTAGATTTTATAGGAAGATATTCCCGTTTCCAACAAAATCTTCACAGCTATCGAAATATCCACTTGCAGATTCTACAAAAAGAGTGTATCAAAACTGCTCTGTCAAAAGGAAGGTTCTTCTCTGTTAGGTGAGTGCATACGTCATAAAGGAGTTTCTGAGAATGTTTCTGTCTAGTGGTTATGGGAAGATATTTGCTTTTTCACCGTAGGCCTCAGAGCGCTCCAAATATCCACTTGCACATACTACAAAAAGAGTGTTTCAAAGCTGCTCTCTGAAAGGGAATGTTCAACTCTATGAGTTGAATGCAAACATGACAAAGACGTTTCTGAGAATGCTTCTGTCTAGATTTGATATGACGATATTCCCGTTTCCAAAGAAATCTTCAAATCTATCCAAATGTCCACTTGCAGATTCAACAAAACGTGTTTTTCAGAACTGCTCTATCAAAAGAAAGATCCACCTCTGTTAGCTGAGTTCACACATCACAAACAAGTTTATGAGAATGCTTCTGTCTAGTTTTTATTTGAAGATATTTCCTTTCTCACCAGAGACCTGAAAGCTGTCCTAATGTTCACTTCCAGATACTACAGAAAGAGTGTTTCAAAACTGCTGTACGAAAGGGAATGTTCAACTCTGTGACTTGAATGCACACATCACAAAGAAGTTTCTGAGGATGCTGCTGTCTACTTTTTATACGTAATCCCGTTTCCAACGAAATCCTCCAAGCTATCCAAATATCCACTTGCAGATTCCACAGAAAGACTGTATCAAAACTGCTCTGTCAATAGAAAGGTTCAACTCTGTTAGCTGCGTGCATATATCCCAAAGAAGATTCTGAGATTGCTTCTGTCTAGTTTTTATGGGAAGATATTTCCCTTTTCACCGTAGGTGTCAAGGCGCTCCAAATGTCCACTTCCAGATACTACAAAAAGAGTGTTTCAAACCTACTCTGTGAAACGGAATATTCAACTCTGTGACTTGAATGCAGATATCACAAAGAAGTTTCTGAGAATGCTTCTGTCGAGATTTTATATGAAGATATTCCCGGTTCCAACGAAATCCTGAAATCTCTCCAAATATCCCCTCGCAGATTCTACAAAAAGAGTGTTTCAAAACTGCTCTGTAAAAAGAAAGGTTCAACTCTGTTAGTTGAGTACACACATCACAAACAAGTTTCACAGAATGCTTCTTTCTAGCTTGTAGGGGAAGATATTCCCTTTATCACCATGGGCCTCCAACCGTCCGAAACATCCACTTACATATACTACAAAAAGAGCGTTTCAAACCTGCTCTATGAAAGGCAATGTTCAACTCTGTGACTTGAATACAGACATCACAGAGCAGTTTCTGAGAATGCTTCTGTCTAGATTTTATAGGAAGATATTCCCGTTTCCAACGAAATCTTCACAGCTATCCAAATATCCACTTGCAGACTCTACAAAAAGAGTGTATCAAAACTGCTCTGTCAAAAGGAAGGTTCTTCTCTGTTAGGTGAGTGCATACGTCATAAAGGAGTTTCTGAGAATGTTTCTGTCTAGTGGTTATGGGAAGATATTTGCTTTTTCACCGTAGGCCTCAGAGCGCTCCAAATATCCACTTGCACATACTACAAAAAGAGTGCCTCAAAGCTGCTCTCTGAATCGGAATGTTCAACTCTATGAGTTGAATGCAAACATCACAACGACGTTTCTGAGAATGCTTCTGTCTAGATTTGATATGAAGATATTCCCGTTTCCAACGAAATCTTCAAATCTATCCAAATGTCCACTTGCAGATTCAACAAAAAGTGTTTTTCAAAACTGCTGTATCAAAAGAACGATCCACGTCTGTTAGCTGAGTTCAGACATCACAAACAAGTTTATGAGAATGCTTCTGTCTAGTTTTTATTTGAAGATATTTCCTTTCTCACCATAGAGCTGAAAGCTGTCCTAATGTTCACTTCCAGATACTACAGAAAGAGTGTTTCAAAACTGCTGTACGAAAGGGAATGTTCAACTCTGTGACTTGAATGCACACATCACAAAGAATTTTCTGAGGATGCTCTGTCTACTTTTTATACGTAATCCCGTTTCCAACGAAATCCTCCAAGCTATCCAAATATCCACTTGCAGATTCCACAGAAAGACTGTTTCAAAACTGCTCTGTCAATAGAAAGGTTCAACTCTGTTAGCTGCGTGCATATATCCCAAAGAAGATTCTGAGATTGCTTTCTGTCTAGTTTTTATTGGAAGATATTTCCCTTTTCACTGTAGGCGTCAAGGCGCTCCAAATGTCCACTTCCAGATACTACAAAAAGAGTGTTTCAAACCTACTCTGTGAAAGGGAATATTCAACTCTGTGACTTGAATGCAGATATCACAAAGAAGTTTCTGAGAATGCTTCTGTCGAGATTTTATATGAAGATATTCCCGTTTCCAACGAAATCCTGAAATCTATCCAAATATCCCCTCGCAGATTCTACAAAAAGAGTGTTTCAAAAGTGCTCTGTAAAAAGAAAGGTTCAACTCTGTTAGTTGAGTACACACATCACAAACAAGTTTCACAGAATGCTTCTTTCTAGCTTCTAGGGGAAGATATTTCCTTTATCACCATGGGCCTCAAACCGTCCGAAACGTCCACTTCCATATACTAAAAAAAGAGTGCTTGAAACCTGCTCTATGAAAGGCAATGTTCAACTCTGTGACATGAAAGCAAACATCACAGAGCAGTTTCTGAGAATGCTTCTGTCCGGACTTTATAGGAAGATATTCCCGATTCCAACGAAATCTTCACAGCTATCCAAATATCCACTTGCAGATACTACAAAAAGAGTGTATCAAAAATGCTCTGTCAAGAGGACAGTTCTTCTCTGCTAGTTGAGTACATACGTCATAAAGAAGTTTCTGAGAATGTTTCTGTCTAGTGGTTATGGGAAGATATTTGCTTTTTCCCCGTAGGCCTCAGAGCGCTCCAAATGTCCACTTGCACATGCTACAAAAAGAGTGCTTCAAAGCTGCTCTCTGAAAGGGAATGTTCAACTCTATGAGTTGAATGTAAACATCACAAAGACGTTTCTGAGAATGCGTCTGTCTAGATTTGATATGAAGATATTCCCGTTTCCAACGAAATCTTCAAATCTATCCAAATGTCCACTTGCAGATTCAACAAAAAGTGTTTTTCAGAACTGCTCTATCAAAAGAAAGATCCACCTCTGTTAGCGGAGTTCACACATCACAAACAAGTTTATGAGAATGCTTCTGTCTAGTTTTTATTTGAAGATATTTCCTTTCTCACCATAGACCTGAAAGCTGTCCTAATGTTCACTTCCAGATACTACAGAAAGAGTGTTTCAAAACTGCTGTACGAAAGGGAAGTTCAACTCTGTGACTTGAATGCACACATCACAAAGAAGTTTCTGAGGATGCTGCTGTCTAATTTTTATACGTAATCCCGTTTCCAACGAAATCCTCCAATCTATCCACATATCCACTTGCAGATTCCACAGAAAGACTGTTTCAAAACTGCTCTGTCAATAGAAAGGTTCAACTCTGTTAGCTGCGTGCATATATCCCAAAGAAGATTCTGAGATTGCTTCTGTCTACTTTTTATGAGAAGATATTTCCCTTTTCACCGTACGCGTCAAGGCGCTCCAAATGTCCTCTTCCAGATACTACAAAAAGAGTGTTTCAAACCTACTCTGTGAAAGGGAACATTCAACTCTGTGACTTGAATGCACATATCACAAAGAAGTTTCTGAGAATGCTTCTGTCGAGATTTTATATGAAGATATTCCCGTTTCCAACTAAATGCTGAAATGTATCCAAATATCCCCTCGCAGATTCTACAAAAAGAGTGTTTCAAAACTGCTCTGTAAAAAGAAAGGTTCAACTCTGTTAGTTGAGTACACACATCACAAACAAGTTTCACAGAATGCTTCTTTCTAGCTTGTAGGGGAAGATATTCCCTTTATCACCATGGGCCTCAAACCGTCCGATAAGTCCACTTCCATATACTACAAAAAGAGCGTTTCAAACCTGCTCTATGAAAGGCAATGTTCAACTCTGTGACTTGAATGCAGACATCGCAGAGCAGTGTCTGAGAATGCTTCTGTCTAGATTTTATAGGAAGATATTCCCGTTTCCAACGAAATCTTCGCAGCTATCCAAATATCCACTTGCAGATTCTACAAAAAGAGTGTATCAAAACTGCTCTGTCAAAAGGAAGGTTCTTCTCTGTTAGGTGAGTGCATACGTCATAAAGGAGTTTCTGAGAATGTTTCTGTCTAGTGGTTATGGGAAGATATTTGCTTTTTCACCGTAGGCCTCAGAGCGCTCCAAATATCCACTTGCACATACTACAAAAAGAGTGCCTCACAGCTGCTCTCTGAAACGGAATGTTCAACTCTATGAGTTGAATGCAAACATCACAAAGACGTTTCTGAGAATGCTTCTGTCTAGATTTGATATGAAGATATTCCCGTTTCCAACGAAATCTTCATATCTATCCAAATGTCCACTTGCAGATTCAACAAAAAGTGTTTTTCAAAACTGCTGTATCAAAAGAAAGATCCACCTCTGTTAGCTGAGTTCACACATCACAAACAAGTTTATGAGAATGCTTCTGTCTAGTTTTTATTTGAAGATATTTCCTTTCTCATCATAGACCTGAAAGCTGTCCTATTGTTCACTTCAGATACTACAGAAAGAGTGTTTCAAAACTGTTGTACGAAAGGGAATGTTCAACCCTGTGACTTGAATGCACACATCACAAAGAAGTTTCTGAGGATGCTGCTGTCTACTTTTTATACGAAATCCCGTTTCCAACGAAATCCTCCAAGCTATCCAAATATCCAATTGCAGATTCCACAGAAAGACTGTTTCAAAACTGCTCTGTCAATAGAAAGGTTCAACTCTGTTAGCTGCGTGCATATATCCCAAAGGAGATTCTGAGATTGCTTGTGTCTACTTTTTATGAGAAGATATTTCCCTTTTCACCGTAGGCGTCAAGGCGCTCCAAATGTCCACTTCCAGATACTACAAAAAGAATGTTTCAAACCTACTCTGTGAAAGGGAATATTCAAGTCTGTGACTTGAATGCACATATCACAAAGAAGCTTCTGAGAATGCTTCTGTCGAGATTTTATATGAAGATATTCCCGTTTCCAACGAAATCCTGAAATGTATCCAAATATCCCCTTGCAGATTCTACAAAAGAGTGTTTCAAAACTGCTCTGTAAAAAGAAAGGTTCAACTCTGTTAGTTGAGTACACACATCACAAACAAGTTTCACACAATGCTTCTTTCTAGCTTGTAGGGGAAGATATTTCCTTTATCACCATGGGCCTCAAACCGTCCGAAACGTCCACTTCCATATACTACAAAAAGAGCGTTTCAAACCTGCTCTATGAAAGGCAATGTTCAACTGTGTGACTTGAATGCAGACATCACAGAGCAGTTTCTGAGAATGCTTCTGTCTAGATTTTATAGGAAGATATTCCCTTTTCCAACGAAATCTTCACAGCTATCCAAATATCCACTTGCAGATTCTACAAAAAGAGTGTATCAAAACTGCTCTGTCAAAAGGAAGGTTCTTCTCTGTTAGTTGAGTACATACGTCATAAAGGAGTTTCTGAGAATGTTTCTGTCTAGTGGTTATGGGAAGATATTTGCTTTTTCACCGTAGACCTCAGAGCGCTCCAAATATCCACTTGCACATACTACAAAAAGAGTGCTTCAAAGCTGCTCTCTAAAAGGGAATGTTCAACTCTATGAGTTGAATGCAAACATCACAAAGACGTTTCTGAGAATGCTTCTGTCTAGATTTGATATGAAGTTATTCCCGTTTCCAACGAAATCTTCAAATCTATCCAAATGTCCACTTGCAGATTCAACAAAACGTGTTTTTCAGACCTGCTCTATCAAAAGAAAGATCCACGTCTCTTAGCTGAGTTCACACATCACAAACAAGTTTATGAGAATGCTTCTGTCTAGTTTTTATTTGAAGATATTTCCTTTCTCACCATAGACCTGAAAGCTGTCCTAATGTTCACTTCCAGATACTACAGAAAGAGTGTTTCAAAACTGCTGTACGAAAGGGAATGTTCAACTCTGTGACTTGAATGCACACATCACAAAGAAGTTTCTGAGGATGGCTGTCTACTTTTTATACGTAATACCGTTTCCAACGAAATCCTCCAAGCTATCCAAATATCCACTTGCAGATTCCACAGAAAGACTGTTTCAAAACTGCTCTGTCAAAAGAAAGGTTCAACTCTGTTAGCTGCGTGCATATATCCCAAAGAAGATTCTGAGATTGCTTCTGTCTAGTTTTTATGGGAAGATATTTCCCTTTTCACCGTAGGCGTCAAGGCGCTCCAAATGTCCACTTCCAGATACTACAAAAAGAGTGTTTCAAACCTACTCTGTGAAAGGGAATATTCAACTCTGTGACTTGAATGCACATATCACAAAGATGTTTCTGAGAATGCTTCTGTCGAGATTTTATATGAAGATATTCCCGTTTCCAACGAAATCCTGAAATCTCTCCAAATATCCCCTCGCAGATTCTACAAAAAGAGTGTTTCAAAACTGCTCTGTAAAAAGAAAGGTTCAACTCTGTTAGTTGAGTACACACATCACAAACAAGTTTCACAGAATGATTCTTTCTAGCTTGTAGGGGAAGATATTCCCTTTATCACCATGGGCCTCAAACCGTCCGAAACGTCCACTTCCATATACTAAAAAAAGAGTGTTTCAAACCTGCTCTATGAAAGGCAATGTTCAACTCTGTGACTTGAATGAAGACATCACAGAGCAATTTCTGAGAATGCTTCTGTCTAGATTTTATAGGAAGATATTCCCGTTTCCAACGAAATCTTCACAGCTATCCTAATATCCACTTGCAGATTCTACAAAAAGAGTGTATCAAAACTGCTCTGTCAAAAGGAAGGTTCTTCTCTGTTAGGTGAGTGCATACGTCATAAAGGAGTTTCTGAGAATGTTTCAGTCTAGTGGTTATGGGAAGATATTTGCTTTTTCCCCGTAGGCCTCAGAGCGCTCCAAATATCCACTTGCACATACTACAAAAAGAGTGCTTCAAAGCTGCTCTCTGAAACGGAATGTTCAACTCTATGAGTTGAATGCAAACACCACAAAGACGTTTCTGAGAATGCTTCTGTCTAGATTTGATATGAAGATATTCCCGTTTCCAAAGAAATCTTCAAATCTATGCAAATGTCCACTTGCAGATTCAACAAAAAGTGTTTTTCAGAACTGCTCTATCAAAAGAAAGATCCACGGCTCTTAGCTGAGTTCACACATCACGAACAAGTTTATGAGTATGCTTCTGTCTAGTTTTTATTTGAAGATATATCCTTTCTCACTATAGACCTGAAAGCTGTCCTAAAGTTCACTTACAGATACTACAGAAAGAGTGTTTCAAAACTGCTGTACGAAAGGGAATGTTCAACTCTGTGACTTGAATGCACACATCACAAGGATGTTTCTGAGGATGCTGCTGTCTACTTTTTATACGTAATCCCGTTTCCAACGAAATCCTCCAAGTTATCCAAATATCCACTTGCAGATTCCACAGAAAGACTGTTTCAAAACTGCTCTGTCAATAGAAAGGTTCAACTCTGTTAGCTGCGTGCATATATCCCAAAGAAGATTCTGAGATTTCTTCTGTCTAGTTTTTATCGGAAGATATTTCCCTTTTCACCGTAGGCGTCAAGGCGCTCCAAATGTCCAATTCCAGATACTATAAAAAGAGTGTTTCAAACCTACTCTGTGAAAGGGAATATTCAACTCTGTGACTGGAATGCAGATATCACAAAGAAGTTTCTGAGAATGCTTCTGTCGAGATTTTATATGAAGATATTCCCGTTTCCAACGAAATCCCTGAAATCTATCCAAATATCCCCTTGCAGATTCTACAAAAAGAGTGTTTCAAAACTGCTCTGTAAAAAGAAAGGTTCAACTCTGTTAGTTGAGTACACACATCACAAACAAGTTTCACACAATGCTTCTTTCTAGCTTGTAGGGGAAGATTTTCCCTTTATCACCATGGGCCTCCAACCGTCCGAAACATCCACTTCCATATTCTACAAAAAGAGCGTTTCAAACCTGCTCTAGGAAAGGCAATGTTCAACTCTGTGACTTGAATGCAGACATCACAGAGCAGTTTCTGAGAATGCTTCTGTCTAGATTTTATAGGAAGGTATTCCCGTTTCCAACGAAATCTTCACAGCTATCCAAATATCCACTTGCAGATTCTACAAAAAGAGTGTATCAAAACTGCTCTGTCAAAAGGAAGGTTCTTCTCTGTTAGGTGAGTGCATACGTCATAAAGGAGTTTCTGAGAATGTTTCTGTCTAGTGGTTATGGGAAGATATTTGCTTTTTCACCGCAGGCCTCAGAGCGCTCCAAATATCCACTTGCACATACTACAAAAAGAGTGCCTCAAAGCTGCTCTCTGAAACGGAATGTTCAACTCTATGAGTTGAATGCAAACATCACAAAGACGTTTCTGAGAATGCTTCTGTCTAGATTTGATATGAAGATATTCCCGTTTCCAACGAAATCTTCAAATCTATCCAAATGTCCACTTGCAGATTAAACAAAAGTGTTTTTCAGAACTGCTCTATCAAAAGAAAGATCCACCTCTGTTAGCTGAGTTCACACATCACAAACAAGTTTATGAGAATGCTTCTGTCTAGTTTTTATTTGAAGATATTTCCTTTCTCAACATAGACCTGAAAGCTCTCCTAATGTTCACTTCCAGATACTACAGAAAGAGCGTTTCAAAACTGCTGTACGAAAGGGAATGTTCAACTCTGTGACTTGAATGCACACATCACAAAGAAGTTTCTGAGGATGCTGCTGTCTACTTTTTATACTTAATCCCGTTTCCAACGAAATCCTCCAAGCTATCCAAATATCCACTTGCAGATTCCACAGAAAGACTGTTTCAAAACTGCTCTGTCAATAGAAAGGTTCAACTCTGTTAGCTGTGTGCATATATCCCAAAGAAGATTCTGAGATTGCTTCTGTCTAGTTTTTATGGGAAGATATTTCCCTTTTGACCGTAGGTGTCAAGGCGCTCCAAATGTCCACTTCCAGATACTACAAAAAGAGTGTTTCAAACCTACTCTGTGAAAGGGAATATTCAACTCTGTGACTTGAATGCACATATCACAAAGAAGTTTCTGAGAATGCTTCTGTCGAGATTTTATATGAAGATATTCCCGTTTCCAACGAAATCCTGAAATCTATCCTAATATCCCCTCGCAGATTCTACAAAAAGAGTGTTTCAAAACTGCTCTGTAAAAAGAAATGTTCAACTCTGTTAGTTGAGTACACACATCACAAACAAGTTTCACAGAATGCTTCTTTCTAGCTTGTAGGGGAAGATATTCCGTTTATCACCATGGGCCTCCAACCGTCCGAAACATCCACTTCCATATACTACAAAAAGAGCGTTTCAAACCTGCTCTATGAAAGGCAATGTTCAACTCTGTGACTTGAATACAGACATCACAGAGCAGTTTCTGAGAATGCTTCTGTCTAGATTTTAAAGGAAGATATTCCCGTTTCCAACGAAATCTTCACAGCTATCCAAATATCCACTTGTAGATTCTACAAAAAGAGTGTATCAAAACTGCTCTGTCAAAAGGAAGGTTCTTTTCTGTTAGGTGAGTGCATACGTCATAAAGGAGTTTCTGAGAATGTTTCTGTCTAGTGGTTATGGGAAGATATTTGCTTTTTCACCGTAGGCCTCAGAGCGCTCCAAATATCCACTTGCACATACTACAAAAAGAGTGCTTCAAAGCTGCTCTCTGAAAGGGAATGTTCAACTCTATGAGTTGAATGCAAACATCACAAAGACGTTTCTGAGAATACTTCTGTCTAGATTTGATATGAAGATATTCCCGTTTCCAACGAAATCTTCAAATCTATCCAAATGTCCACTTGCAGATTCAACAAAGTGTTTTTCAGAACTGCTCTATCAAAAGAAAGATCCACCTCTGTTAGCTGAGATCACACTTCACAAACAAGTTTATCAGAATGCTTCTGTCTAGTTTTTATTTGAAGATATTTCCTTTCTCACCATAGAGCTGAAAGCTGTCCTAATGTTCACTTCCAGATAGTACAGAAAGAGTGTTTCAAAACTGCTGTACGAAAGGGAATGTTCAACTCTGTGACTTGAATGCACACATCACAAAGAAGTTTCTGAGGATGCTGCTGTCTACTTTTTATACGTAATCCCGTTTCCAACGAAATCCTCCAAGCTATCCAAATATCCACTTGCAGATTCCACAGAAAGACTGTTTCAAAACTGCTCTGTCAATAGAAAGGTTCAACTTTGTTAGCTGCGTGCATATATCCCAAAGAAGATTCTGAGATTGCTTCTGTCTAGTTTTTATGGGAAGATATTTCCCTTTTCACCGTAGGCGTCAAGGCGCTCCAAATGTCCACTTCCAGATACTACAAAAAGAGTGTTTCAAACCTACTCTGTGAAAGGGAATATTCAACTCTGTGACTTGAAGGCAGATATCACAAAGAAGTTTCTGAGAATGCTTCTGTCGAGATTTTATATGAAGGTATTCCCGTTTCCAACGAAATCCTGAAATGTATCCAAATATCCCCTCGCAGATTCTACAAAAAGAGTGTTTCAAAACTGCTCTGTAAAAAGAAAGGTTCAACTCTGTTAGTTGAGTACACACATCACAAACAAGTTTCACACAATGCTTCTTTCTAGCTTGTAGGGGAAGATATTCCCTTTATCACCATGGGCCTCCAACCGTCCGAAACATCCACTTCCATATACTACAAAAAGAGCGTTTCAAACCTGCTCTATGAAAGGCAATGTTCAACTCTGTGACTTGAATGCAGACATCAAAGAGCAGTTTCTGAGAATGCTTCTGTCTAGATTTTATAGGAAGATATTCCCGTTTCCAAAGAAATCTTCACAGCTATCCAAATATCCACTTGCATATTCTACAAAAAGAGTGTATCAAAACTGCTCTGTCAAAAGGAAGGTTCTTCTCTGTTAGGTGAGTGCATACGTCATACAGGAGTTTCTGAGAATGTTTCTGTCTAGTGGTTATGGGAAGATATTTGCTTTTTCACCGTAGGCCTCAGAGCGCTCCAAATATCCCCTTGCACATACTACAAAAAGAGTGCTTCAAAGCTGCTCTCTGAAAGGGAATGTTCAACTCTATGAGTTGAATGCAAACATCAGAAAGACGTTTCTGAGAATGCTTCTGTCTAGATTTGATATGAAGATATTCCCGTTTCCAACGAAATCTTCAAATCTATCCAAATGTCCACTTGCAGATTCAACAAAAAGTGTTTTTCAAAACTGCTGTATCAAAGGAAAGATCCACGTCTGTTAGCTGAGTTCACACATCACAAACAAGTTTATGAGAATGCTTCTGTCTAGTTTTTATTTGAAGATATATCCTTTCTCACCATAGACCTGGAAGCTCTCCTAATGTTCACTTCCAGATACTACAGAAAGAGTGTTTCAAAACTGCTGTACGAAAGGGAATGTTCAACTCTGTGACTTGAATGCACACATCACAAAGAATTTTCTGAGAATGCTGCTGTCTACTTTTTATACGTAATCCTGTTTCCAACGAAATCCTCCAAGCTATCCAAATATCCACTTGCAGATTCCAGAGAAAGACTGTTTCAAAACTGCTCTGTCAATAGAAAGGTTCAACTCTGTTAGCTGCGTGCATATATCCCAAAGAAGATTCTGAGATTGCTTCTGTCTAGTTTTTATGGGAAGATATTTCCTTTTTCACTGTAGGCGTCAATGCGCTCCAAATGTCCACTTCCAGATACTACAAAAAGAGTGTTTCAAACCTACTCTGTGAAAGGGAATATTCAACTCTGTGACTTGAATGCAGATATCCCAAAGAAGTTTCTGAGAATGCTTCTGTCGAGATTTTATATGAAGATATTCCCGTTTCCAACGAAATGCTGAAATGTATCCAAATATCCCCTCGCAGATTCTACAAAAAGAGTGTTTCAAAACTGCTCTGTAAAAAGAAAGGTTCAACTATTGTTAGTTGAGTACACACATCACAAACAAGTTTCACAGAATGCTTCTTTCTAGCTTGTAGGGGAAGATATTCCCTTTATCACCATGGGCCTCAAACCGTCCGAAACGTCCACTTCCATATACTACAAAAAGAGCGTTTCAAACCTGCTCTATGAAAGGCAATGTTCAACTCCGTGACTTGAATGCAGACATCACAGAGCAGTTTCTGAGAATGCTTCTGTCTAGATTTTATAGGAAGATATTCCCGTTTCCAGCGAAATCTTCACAGATATCCAAATATCCACTTGCAGATTCTACAAAAAGAGTGTATCAAAACTGCTCTGTCAAAAGGAAAGTTCTTCTCTGCTAGTTGAGTACATACGTCATAAAGAAGTTTCTGAGAATGTTTCTGTCTAGTGGTTATGGGAAGATATTTGCTTTTTCACCGAAGGCCTCAGAGCGCTCCAAATATCCACTTGCACATACTACAAAATGAGTGCCTCAAAGCTGCTCTCTGAAACGGAATGTTCAACTCTATGAGTTGAATGCAAACATCACAAAGACGTTTCCGAGAATGCTTCTGTCTAGATTTGATATGAAGATATTCCCGTTTCCAACGAAATCTTCAAATCTATCCAAATGTCCACTTGCAGATTCAACAAAAAGTGTTTTTCAGAACTGCTCTATCAAAAGAAAGATCCATCTCGGTTAGCTGAGTTCACACATCACAAACAAGTTTATGAGAATGCTTCTGTCTAGTTTTTATTTGAAGATATTTCCCTTCTCACCATAGACCTGCAAGCTGTCCTAATGTTCACTTCCAGATACTACAGAAAGAGTGTTTCAAAACTGCTGTACGAAAGGGAATGTTCAACTCTGTGACTTGAATGCACACATCACAAAGTAGTTTCTGACGATGCTGCTGTCTACTTTTTATACGTAATCCCGTTTCCAACGAAATCCTCCAAGCTATCCAAATATCCACTTGCAGATTCCACAGAAAGACTGTTTCAAAACTGCTCTGTCAATAGAAAGGTTCAACTCTGTTAGCTGCGTGCATATATCCCAAAGAAGATTGTGAGATTGCTTCTGTCTAGTTTTTATGGGAAGATATTTCCCTTTTCACCTTAGGCGTCAAGGCGCTCCAAATGTCCACTTCCAGATACTACAAAAAGAGTGTTTCAAACCTACTCTGTGAAAGGGAATATTCAACTCTGTGACTTGAAGGCAGATATCACAAAGAAGTTTCTGAGAATGCTTCTGTCGAGATTTTATATGTAGATATTCCCGTTTCCAACGAAATCCTGAAATCTATCCAAATATGCCCTCGCAGATTCTACAAAAAGAGTGTTTCAAAACTGCTCTGTAAAAAGAAAGGTTCAACTCTGTTAGTTGAGTACACACATCACAAACAAGTTTCACAGAATGCTTCTTTCTAGCTTGTAGGGGAAGATATTTCCTTTATCACCATGGGCCTCAAACCGTCCAAAACGTCCACTTCCATATACTAAAAAAACAGTGTTTGAAACCTGCTCTATGAAAGGCAATGTTCAACTCTGTGACTTGAATGCAGACATCACAGAGCAGTTTCTGAGAATGCTTCTGTCCAGACTTTATAGGAAGATATTCCCGTTTCCAACGAAATCTTCACAGCTATACAAATATCCACTTGCAGATAGTACAAAAAGAGTGTATCAAAAATGCTCTGTCAAAAGGAAAGTTCTTCTCTGCTAGTTGAGTACATACGTCATAAAGAAGTTTCTGAGAATGTTTCTGTCTAGTGGTTATGGGAAGATATTTGCTTTTTCACCTTAGGCCTCAGAGCGCTCCAAATATCCCCTTGCACATACTACAAAAAGAGCGCTTCAAAGCTGCTCTCTGAAACGGAATGTTCAACTCTATGGGTTGAATGCAAACATCACAAAGACGTTTCTGAGAATGCTTCTGTCTAGATTTGATATGAAGATATTCCCGTTCCCACGAAATCTTCAAATCTATCCAAATGTCCACTTGCAGATTCAACAAAACGTGTTTTTCAGAACTGCTCTATCAAAAGAAAGATCCACGTCTCTTAGCTGAGTTCACACATCACAAACAAGTTTATGAGAATGCTTCTGTATAGTTTTTATTTGAAGATATTTCCTTTCTCACCATAGACCTGAAAGCTGTCCTAATGTTCACTTCCAGATACTACAGAAAGAGTGTTTCAAAACTGCTGTACGAAAGGGAATGTTCAACTCTGTGACTTGAATGCACACATCACAAAGAAGTTTCTGAGGATGCTGCTGTCTACTTTTTATGCGTAATCCCGTTTCCAACGAAATCCTCCAAGCTATCCAAATATCCACTTGCAGATTCCACAGAAAGACTGTTTCAAAACTGCTCTGTCAATAGAAAGGTTCAACTCTGTTAGCTGCGTGCATATATCCCAAAGAAGATTCTGAGATTGCTTCTGTCTAGTTTTTATGGGAAGATATTTCCCTTTTCACCGTAGGCGTCAAGGCGCTCCAAATGTCCACTTCCAGATATTACAAAAAGAGTGTTTCAAACCTACTCTGTGAAAGGGAATATTCAACTCTGTGACTTGAATGCAGATATCACAAAGAAGTTTCTGAGAATGCTTCTGTCGAGATTTTATATGAAGATATTCCCGTTTCCAACGAAATCCTGAAATCTATCCAAATATCCCCTCGCAGATTCTACAAAAAGAGTGTTTCAAAACTGCTCTGTAAAAAGAAAGGTTCAACTCTGTTAGTTGAGTACACACATCACAAAGAAGTTTCACAGAATGCTTCTTTCTATCTTGTAGGGGAAGATATTCCCTTTATCACTATGGGCCTCAAACCGTCCGAAACGTCTACTTCCATATACTACAAAAAGAGCGTTTCAAACGTGCTCTATGAAAGGCAATGTTCAACTCTGTGACTTGAATGCAGACATCACAGAGCAGTTTCTGAGAATGCTTCTGTCTAGATTTTATAGGAAGATATTCCCGTTTCCAACGAAATCTTCACAGCTATCCAAATATCCACTTGCAGATTCTACAAAAAGAGTGTATCAAAACTGCTCTGTCAAAAGGAAGGTTCTTCTCTTTTAGGTGAGTGCATAGGTCATAAAGGAGTTTCTGAGAATGTTTCCGTCTAGTGGTTATGGGATGATATTTGCTTTTTCACCGTAGGCCTCAGAGCGCTCCAAATATCCACTTGCACATACTACAAAAAGAGTGCTTCAAAGCTGCTCTCTGAAAGGGAATGTTCAACTCTATGAGTTGAATGCAAACATCACAAAGACGTTTCTGAGAATGCTTCTGTCTAGATTTGATATGAAGATATTCCCGTTTCCAACGAAATCTTCAAATCTATCCAAATGTCCACTTGCAGATTCAACAAAAAGTGTTTTTCAGAACTGCTCTATCAAAAGAAAGATCCACCTCTGTTAGCTGAGTTCAGACATCACAAACAAGTTTATGAGAATGCTTCTGTCTAGTTTTTATTTGAAGATATTTCCTTTCTCACCATAGACCTGAAAGCTTTCCTAATGTTCACTTCCAGTTACTACAGAAAGAGTATTTCAAAACTGCTGTACGAAAGGGATTGTTCAACTCTGTGACTTGAATGCACACATCACAAAGAAGTTTCTGAGGATGCTGCTGTCTACTTTTTATACGTAATCCCGTTTCCAACGAAATCCTCCAAGCTATCCAAATATCCACTTGCAGATTCCACAGAAAGACTGTTTCAAAACTGCTCTGTCAATAGAAAGGTTCAACTCTGTTAGCTGCGTGCATATATCCCAAAGAAGATTCTGAGATTGTTTCTGTCTAGTTTTTATGGGAAGATATTTCCCTTTTCACCGTAGGTGTCAAGGCGCTCCAAATGTCCACTTCCAGATACTACAAAAAGAGTGTTTCAAACCAACTCTGTGAAAGGGAATATTCAACTCTGTGACTTGAATGCACATATCACAAAGAAGTTTCTGAGAATGCTTCTGTCGAGATTTTATATGAAGATATTCCCCTTTCCAACGAAATCCTGAAATCTATCCAAATATCCCCTCGCAGATTCTACAAAAAGAGTGTTTCAAAACTGCTCTGTAAAAAGAAAGGTTCAACTCTGTTAGTTTGAGTACACACATCACAAACAAGTTTCACAGAATGCTTCTTTCTAGCTTGTAGGGGAAGATATTCCCTTTATCACCATGGGCCTCAAACCGTCCGAAACGTCCACTTCCATGTACTACAAAAAGAGCGTTTCAAACCTGTTCTAGGAAAGGCAATGTTCAACTCTGTGACTTGAATGCAGACATCACAGAGCAGTTTCTGAGAATGCTTCCATCTAGATTTTATAGGAAGATATTCCCGTTTCCAACGAAATCTTCACAGCTATCCAAATATCCACTTGCAGATTCTGCAAAAAGAGTGTATCAAAACTGCTCCGTCAAAAGGAAGGTTCTTCTCTGTTAGGTGAGTGCATACGTCATAAAGGAGTTTCTGAGAATGTTTCTGTCTAGTGGTTATGGGAAGATATTGGCTTTTTCACCGTAGGCCTCAGAGCGCTCCAAATATCCACTTGCACATACTACAAAAAGAGTGCCTCAAAGCTGCTCTCTGAAACGGAATGTTCAACTCTATGAGTTGAATGCAAACATCACAAAGACGTTTCTGAGAATGCTTCTGTCTAGATTTGATATGAAGATATTCCCGTTTCCAACGAAATCTTCATATCTATCCAAATGTCCACTTGCAGATTCAACAAAAAGTGTTTTTCAAAACTGCTGTATCAAAAGAAAGATCCACGTCTGTTAGCTGATGCTCTATCAAAAGAAAGATTCACCTCTGTTAGCTGAGTTCACACATCACAAACAAGTTTATGAAAATGCTTCTGTCTAGTTTTTATTTGAAGATATTTCCTTTCTCACCATAGACCTGAAAGCTGTCCTAATGTTCACTTCCAGATACTACAGAAAGAGTGTTTCAAAACTGCTGTATGAAAGGGAATGTTCAAATCTGTGACTTGAATGCACACATCACAAAGAAATTTCTGAGGATGCTGCTATCTACTTTTTATACGTAATCCCGTTTCCAACGAAATCCTCCAAGCTATCCAAATATCCACTTGCAGATTCCACAGAAAGACTGTTTCAAAACTGCTCTGTCAATAGAAAGGTTCAACTCTGTTAGCTGCGTGCATATATCCCAAAGAAGATTCTGAGATTGCTTCTGTCTAGTTTTTATGGGAAGATATTTCCCTTTTCACCGTAGGTGTCAAGGCGCTCCAAATGTCCACTTCCAGATACTACAAAAAGAGTGCTTCAAACCTACTCTGTGAAAGGGAATATTCAACTCTGTGACTTAAAGGCAGATATCACAAAGAAGTTTCTGAGAATGCTTCTGTCGAGATTTTATATGAAGATACTCCCGTTTCCAACGAAATCCTGAAATCTATCCAAATATCCCTTCGCAGATTCTACAAAAAGAGTGTTTCAAAATTGCTCTGTAAAAAGAAAGGTTCAACTCTGTTAGTTGAGTACACACATCACAAACAAGTTTCACAGAATGCTTTCTTTCTAGCTTGTAGGGGAAGATATTCCCTTTATCACCATGGGCCTCCAACCGTCCGAAACATCCACTTCCATATACTACAACAAGAGCGTTTCAAACCTGCTCTATGAAAGGCAATGTTCAACTCTGTGACTTGAATACAGACATCACAGAGCAGTTTCTGAGAATGCTTCTGTCTAGATTTTATAGGAAGATATTCCCGTTTCCAACGAAATCTTCACAGCTATCCAAATATCCACTTGCAGATTCTACAAAAAGAGTGTATCAAAACTGTTCTGTCAAAAGGAAGGTTCTTCTCTGTTAGGTGAGTGCATACGTCATAAAGGAGTTTCTGAGAATGTTTCTGTCTAGTGGTTATGGGAAGATATTTGCTTTTTCACCGTAGGCCTCAGAGCGCTCCAAATATCCACTTGCACATACTACAAAAAGAGTGCCTCAAAGCTGCTCTATGAAACGGAATGTTCAACTCTATGAGTTGAATGCAAACATCACAAAGACGTTTCTGAGAATGCTTCTGTCTAGATTTGATATGAAGATATTCCCGTTTCCAACGAAATCTTCAAATCTATCCAAATGTCCACTTGCAGATTCAACAAAAAGTGTTTTTCAGAACTGCTCTATCAAGAGAAAGATCCACCTCTGTTAGCTGAGTTCACACATCACAAACAAGTTTATGAGAATGCTTCTGTCTAGTTTTTATTTGAAGATATTTCCTTTCTCACCATAGAGCTGAAAGCTGTCCTAATGTTCACTTCCAGATACTACAGAAAGAGTGTTTCAAAACTGCTGTACGAAAGGGAATGTTCAACTCTGTCACTTGAATGCACACATCACAAAGAAGTTTCTGAGGATGCTGCTGTGTACTTTTGATACGTAATCCCGTTTCCAACGAAATCCTCCAAGCTATCGAAATATCCACTTGCAGATTCCACAGAACGACTGTTTCAAAACTGCTCTGTCAATAGAAATGTTCAACTCTGTTAGCTGCGTGCATATATCCCAAAGAAGATTCTGAGATTGCTTCTGTCTAGTTTTTATGGGAAGATATTTCCCTTTTCACCGTAGGCGTCAAGGCGCTCCAAATGTCCACATCCAGATACTACAAAAAGAGTGTTTCAAACCTACACTGTGAAAGGGAATATTCAACTCTGTGACTTGAATGCACATATCACAAAGAAGTTTCTGAGAATGCTTCTGTAGAGATTTTATATGAAGATATTCCCGTTTCCAACGAAATCCTGAAATCTATCCAAATATCCCCTCGCAGATTCTACAAAAAGAGTGTTTCAAAACTGCTCTGTGAAAAGAAAGGTTCAACTCTGTTAGTTGAGTACACACATCACAAACAAGTTTCACAGAATGCTTCTTTCTAGCTTGTAGGGGAAGTTATTCCCTTTATCACCATGGGCCTCAAACCGTCCGAAACGTCCACTTCCATATACTACAAAAAGAGCGTTTCAAACCTGCTCTATGAAAGGCAATGTTCAACTCTGTGACTTGAATGCAGACATCACAGAGCTGTTTCTGAGAATGCTTCTGTCTAGATTTTATAGGAAGATATTCCCGTTTCCAACGAAATCTTCACAGCTATCCCAATATCCACTTGCAGATTCTACAAAAAGAGTGTATCAAAACTGCTCTGTCAAAAGGAAGGTTCTTCTCTGTTAGGTGAGTGCATACGTCATAAAGGAGTTTCTGAGAATGATTCTGTCTAGTGGTTATGGGAAGATATTTGCTTTTTCCCCGTAGGCCTCAAAGCGCTCCAAATGTCAACTTGCACATACTACAAAAAGAGTGCTTCAAAGCTGCTCTCTGAAAGGGAATGTTCAACTCTATGAGTTGAATGCAAACATCGCAAAGACGTTTCTGAGAATGCTTCTGTCTAGATTTGATATGAAGATATTCCCGTTTCCAACGAAATCTTGAAATCTATCCAAATGTCCACTTCCAGATTCAACAAAGTGTTTTTCAGAACTGCTCTATTCAAAGAAAGATCCACCTCTGTTAGCTGAGATCACACTTCACAAACAAGTTTATCAGAATGCTTCCGTCTAGTTTTTATTTGAAAATATATCCTTTCTCACTATAGACCTGAAAGCTGTCCTAAAGTTCACTTCCAGATACTACAGAAAGAGTGTTTCAAAACTGCTGTACGAAAGGGAATGTTCAACTCTGTGACTTGAATGCACACATCACAAGGATGTTTCTGAGGATGCTGCAGTCTACTTTTTTTACGTAATCCCGTTTCCAAAGAAAACTTCCAAGCTATCCAAATATCCACTTGCAGATTCCACAGAAAGACTGTTTCAAAACTGCTCTGTCAATACAAATGTTCAACTCTGTTAGCTGCCTGCATATATCCCAAAGAAGATTCTGAGATTGCTTCTGTCTAGTTTTTATGGGAAGATATTTCCCTTTTCATCGTAGGTGTCAAGGCGCTCCAAATGTCCACTTCCAGATACAACAAAAAGAGTGTTTCAAACCTACTCTGTGAAAGGGAATATTCAACACTGAGACTTGAATGCACATATCACAAAGAAGTTTCTGAGAATGCTTCTGTCGAGATTTTATATGAAGATATTCCCGTTTCCAACCAAATCCTGAAATCTATCCAAATATCCCCTCGCAGATTCTACAAAAAGAGTGTTTCAAAACTGCTCTGTGAAAAGAAAGGTTCAACTCTGTTAGTTGAGTACACACATCACAAACAAGTTTCACAGAATGCTTCTTTCTAGCTTGTAGGGGAAGATATTCCCTTTATAACCATGGGCCTCAAACCGTCCGATAAGTCCACTTCCATATACTACAAAAAGAGCGTTTCAAACCTGCTCTATGAAAGGCAATGTTCAACTCTGTGACTTGAATGCAGACATCACAGAGCAGTTTCTGAGAATGCTTCTGTCTAGATTTTATAGGAAGATATTCCCGTTTCCAACGAAATCTTCACAGCTATCCAAATATCCACTTGGAGATTCTACAAAAAGAGTGTATCAAAACTGCTCTGTCAAAAAGAAGGTTCTTCTCTGTTAGTTGCGTACATACGTCATAAAGGAGTTTCTGAGAATGTTTCTGTTTAGTGGTTACGGGAAGATATTTGCTTTTTCACCGTAGGCCTCAGAGCGATCCAAATATCCACTTGCACATACTACAAAAAGAGTGCTTCAAAGCTGCTCTCTGAAACGGAATGTTCAACTCTATGAGTTGAATGCAAACATCACAAAGACGTTTCTGAGAATGCTTCTGTCTAGATTTGATATGAAGATATTCCCGTTTCCAACGAAATCTTCAAATCTATCCAAATGTCCACTTGCAGATTCAACAAAAAGTGTTTTTCAAAACTGCTGTATCAAAAGAAAGATCCACGTCTGTTAGCTGAGTTCACACATCACAAACAAGTTTATGAGAATGCTTGTCTGTCTAGTTTTTATTTGAAGATATTTCCTTTCTCACCATAGACCTGAAAGCTGTCCTAATGTTCACTTCCAGATGCTACAGAAAGAGTGTTTCAAAACTGCTGTACGAAAGGGAATGTTCAACTCTGTGACTTGAATGCACACATCACAAAGAAGTTTCTGAGGATGCTGCTGTCTACTTTTTATACGTAATCCCGTTTCCATTGAAATCCTCCAAGCTATCCAAATATCCACTTGCAGATTCCACAGAAAGACTGTTTCAAAACTGCTCTGTCAATAGAAAGGTTCAACTCTGTTAGCTTCGTGCATATATCCCAAAGAAGATTCTGAGATTGCTTCTGTCTAGTTTTTATGGGAAGATATTTCCCTTTTCACCGTAGGCGTCAAGGCGCTCCAAATGTCCACTTCCAGATACTACAAAAAGAGTGTTTCAAACCTACTCGGTGAAAGGGAATATTCAACTCTGTGACTTGAATGCACATATCACAAAGAAGTTTCTGAGAATGCTTCTGTCGAGATTTTATATGAAGATATTCCCGTTTCCAAAGAAATCCTGAAATCTATCCAAATATCCCCTCGCAGATTCTACAAAAAGAGTGTTTCAAAACTGCTCTGTAAAAAGAAAGGTTCAACTCTGTTAGTTGAGTACACACATCACAAATAAGTTTCACAGAATGCTTTCTTTCTAGCTTGTAGGGGAAGATATTCACTTTATCACCATGGGCCTCAAACCGTCCGAAACGTCCACTTCCATATACTACAAAAAGAGCGTTTCAAACCTGTTCTTGGAAAAGCAATGTTCAACTCTGTGACTTGAATGCAGACATCACAGAGCAGTTTCTGAGAATGCTTCTGTCTAGATTTTATAGGAAGATATTCCCGTTTCCAACGAAATCTTCACAGCTATCCAAATATCCACTTGCAGATTCTACAAAAAGAGTGTATCAAAACTGCTCTGTCAAATGGAAGGTTCTTCTCTGTTAGGTGAGTGCATACGTCATAAAGGAGTTTCTGAGAATGTTTCTGTCTAGTGGTTATGGGAAGATATTTGCTTTTTCCCCTTAGGCCTCAAAGCGCTCCAAATGTCAATTTGCACTTACTACAAAAAGAGTGCTTCAAAACTGCTCTCTGAAAGGGAATGTTCAACTCTATGAGTTGAATGCAAACATCACAAAGACGTTTCTGAGAATGCTTCTGTCTAGATTTGATATGAAGATATTCCCGTTTCCAAAGAAATCTTCAAATCTATCCAAATGTCCACTTGCAGATTCAACAAAAAGTGTTTTTCAGAACTGCTCTATCAAAAGAAAGATCCACGGCTCTTAGCTGAGTTCACACATCACGAACAAGTTTATGAGAATGCTTCTGTCTAGTTTTTATTTGAAGATATATCCTTTCTCACTATAGACCTGAAAGCTGTCCTAAAGTTCACTTCCAGATACTACAGAAAGAGTGTTTCAAAACTGCTGTACGAAAGGGAATGTTCAACTCTGTGACTTGAATGCACACATCACAAGGATGTTTCTGAGGATGCTGTTGTCTACTTTTTATACGTAATCCCGTTTCCAACGAAATCCTCCAAGCTATCCAAATATCCACTTGCAGATTCCACAGAAAGACTGTTTCAAAACTGCTATTTCAATAGAAAAGTTCAACTCTGTTAGCTGTGTGCATATATCCCAAAGAAAATTCTGAGATTGCTTCTGTCTAGTTTTCATGGGAAGATATTTCCCTTTTCACCGTAGGTGTCAAGGCGCTCCAAATGTCCACTTCCAGATACTACAAAAAGAGTGTTTCAAACCTACTCTCTGAAAGGGAATATTCCGCTCTGTGACTTGAATGCAGATATCACAATGAAGTTTCTGAGAATGCTTCTGTCGAGATTTTATATGAAGATATTCCCGTTTCCAACGAAATCCTGAAATCTCTCCAAATATCCCCTCGCAGATTCTACAAAAAGAGTGTTTCAAAACTGCTCTTTAAAAAGAAAGGTTCAACTCTGTTAGTTGAGTACACACATCACAAACAAGTTTCACAGAATGCTTCTTTCTAGCTTGTAGGGGAAGATATTCCCTTTATCACCATGGGCCTCAAACCGTCCGAAACGTCCACTTCCATATACTACAAAAAGAGCGTTTCAAACCTGCTCCAGGAAAGGCAATGTTCAACTCTGTGACTTGAATGCAGACATCACAGAGCAGTTTCTGAGAATGCTTCTGTCTAGATTTTATAGGAAGATATTCCCGTTTCCAACGAAATCTTCACAGCTATCCAAATATCCACTTGCAGATTCTACAAAAAGAGTGTATCAAAACTGCTCTCTCAAAAGGAAGGTTCTTCTCTGTTAGGTGAGTGCATACGTCATAAAGGAGTTTCTGAGAATGTTTCTGTCTAGTGGTTATGGGAAGATATTTGCTTTTTCCCCGTAGGCCTCAGGGCGCTCCAAATGTCCACTTGCACATGCTACAAAAAGAGTGCTTCAAAGCTGCTCTCTCAAAGGGAATGTTCAACTCTATGAGTTGAATGCAAACATCGCAAAGACGTTTCTGAGAATGCTTCTGTCTAGATTTGATATGAAGATATTCCCGTTTCCAACGAAATCTTCAAATCTATCCAAATGTCCACTTGCAGATTCAACAAAAAGTGTTTTTCAGAACTGCTCTATCAAAAGAAAGATCCACCTCTGTTAGCTGAGTTCAGACATCGCAAACATGTTTTTGAGAATGCTTCTGTCTAATTTTTATTTGAAGATATTTCCTTTCTCACCATAGACCTGAAAGCTGTCCTAATGTTCACTTCCAGATACTACAGAAAGAGTGTTTCAAAACTGCTGTACGAAAGGGAATGTTCAACTCTGTGACTTGAATGCACACATCAGAAAGAAGTTTCTGAGGATGCTGCTGTCTACTTATTATACGTAATCCCGTTTCCAACGAAATCCTCCAAGCTATCCAAATATCCACTTGCAGAATCCATAGAAAGACTGTTTCAAAACTGCTCTGTCAATAGAAAGGTTCAACTCTGTTAGCTGCGTGCATATATCCCAAAGAAGATTCTGAGATTGCTTCTGTCTAGTTTTTATGGGAAGATATTTCCCTTTTCACCGTAGGTGTCAAGGCGCTCCAAATGTTCACTTCCAGATACTACAAAAAGAGTGTTTCAAACCTACTCTGTGAAAGGGAATATTCAACTCTGTGACTTAAAGGCAGATATCACAAAGAAGTTTCTGAGAATGCTTCTGTCGAGATTTTATATGAAGATATTCCAGTTTCCAACCAAATCCTGAAATCTATCCAAATATCCCCTCGCAGATTCTACAAAAAGAGTGTTTCAAAAGTGCTCTGTAAAAAGAAAGGTTCAACTCTGTTAGTTGAGTACACACATCACAAACAAGTTTCACAGAATGCTTCTTTCTAGCTTGTAGGGGAAGATATTCCCTTTATCACCATGGGCCTCAAACCGTCTGAAACGTCCACTTCCATATACTGCAAAAAGAGCATTTCAAACCTGCTCTATGAAAGGCAATGTTCAACTCTGTGACTTGAATGCAGACATCACAGAGCAGTTTCTGAGAATGCTTCTGTCTAGATTTTATAGGAAGATATTCCCGTTCCAACGAAATCTTCACAGCTATCCAAATATCCACTTGCAGATTCTACAAAAAGAGTGTATCAAAACTGCTCTGTCAAAAGGAAGGTTCTTCTCTGTTAGGTGAGTGCATACGTCATAAAGGAGTTTCTGAGAATGTTTCTGTCTAGTGGTTATGGGAAGATATTTGCTTTTTCACCGTAGGCCACAGAGCGATCAAAACATCCACTTGCACATACTACAAAAAGAGTGCTTCAAAGCTGCTCTCTGAAAGTGAATGTTCAACTCTATGAGTTGAATGCAAACATCACAAAGACGTTTCTGAGAATGCTTCTGTCTAGATTTGATATGAAGTTATTCCCGTTTCCAACGAAATCTTCAAATCTATCCAAATGTCCACTTGCAGATTCAACAAAAAGTGTTTTTCAGAACTGCTCTATCAAAAGAAAGATCCACCTCTGTTAGCTGAGTTCACACATCACAAACAAGTTTATGAAAATGCTTCTGTCTAGTTTTTATTTGAAGATATTTCCTTTCTCACCATAGACCTGAAAGCTGTCCTAATGTTCACTTCCAGTTACTACAGAAAGAGTGTTTCAAAACTGCTGTACGAAAGGGAATGTTCAACTCTGTGAGTTGAATGCACACATCACAAAGAAGTTTCTGAGGATGCTGCTGTCTACTTTTTATACGTAATCCCGTTTCCAACGAAATCCTCCAAGCTATCCAAATATCCACTTGCAGATTCCACAGAAAGACTGTTTCAAAACTGCTCTGTCAATAGAAAGATTCAACTCTGTTAGCTGCGTGCATATATCCCAAAGAAGATTCTGAGATTACTTCTGTCTAGTTTTTATGGGAAGATATTTCCCTTTTCACCGTAGGCGTCAAGGCGCTCCAAATGTCCACTTCCAGATACTACAAAAAGAGTGTTTCAAACCTACTCTGTGAAAGGGAGTATTCAACTCTGTGACTTGAATACACATATCACAAAGAAGTTTCTGAGAATGCTTCTGTCGAGATTTTATATGAAGATAATCCCGTTTCCAACGAAATCCTGAAATCTATCCAAATATCCCCACGCAGATTCTACAAAAAGAGTGTTTCAAAACTGCTCTGTAAAAAGAATGGTTCAACTCTGTTAGTTGAGTACACACATCACAAAAAAGTTTCACAGAATGCTTCTTTCTAGCTTGTAGGGGAAGATATTCCCTTTATCACCATGTGCCTCAAACCGTCCGAAACTTCCACTTCCATATACTACAAAAAGAGCGTTTCAAACCTGCTCTAGGAAAGGCAATGTTCAACTCTGTGACTTGAATGCAGACATCACATAGCAGTTTCTGAGAATGCTTCTGTCTAGATTTTATAGGAAGATATTCCCGTTTCCAACGAAATCTTCACAGCTATCCCAATATCCACTTGCAGATTCTACAAAAAGAGTGTATCAAAACTGCTCTGTCAAAAGGAAGGTTCTTCTCTGTTAGGTGAGTGCATACGTCATAAAGGAGTTTCTGAGAACGTTTCTGTCTAGTGGTTATGGGAAGATATTTGCTTTTTCACCGAAGGCCTCAGAGCGCTCCAAATATCAACTTGCACATACTACAAAATGAGTGCCTCAAAGCTGCTCTCTGAAACGGAATGTTCAACTCTATGAGTTGAATGCAAA
The DNA here is from genome assembly GCF_000001405.40 of Homo sapiens. NCBI lineage: Eukaryota > Metazoa > Chordata > Mammalia > Primates > Hominidae > Homo > Homo sapiens. The sequence goes on along the minus strand of NC_000021.9, from coordinate 12,158,146 downwards.
CATCACAAAGACGTTTCCGAGAATGCTTCTGTCTAGATTTGATATGAAGATATTCCCGTTTCCAACGAAATCTTCAAATCTATCCAAATGTCCACTTGCAGATTCAACAAAGTGTTTTTCAAAACTGCTGTATCAAAAGAAAGATCCACCACTGTTAGCTGAGTTCACACTTCACAAACAAGTTTATCAGAATGCTTCTGTCTAGTTTTTATTTGAAGATATTTCCTTTCTCACCATAGACCTGAAAGCTGTCCTAATGTTCACTTCCAGATACTACAGAAAGTGTTTCAAAACTGCTGTACGAAAGGGAATGTTCAACTCTGTGACTTGAATGCACACATCACAAAGAAGTTTCTGAGGATGCTGCTGTCTACTTTTTATACGTAATCCCGTTTCCAACGAAATCCTTCAAGCTATCCAAATATCCACTTGCAGATTCCACAGAAAGACTGTTTCAAAACTGCTCTGTCAATAGAAAGGTTCAACTCTGTTAGCTGCGTGCATATATCCCAAAGAAGATTCTGAGATTGCTTCTGTCTACTTTTTATGAGAAGATATTTCCCTTTTCACCGTAGGCGTCAAGGCGCTCCAAATGTCCACTTCAGATACTACAAAAAGAGTGTTTCAAACCTACTCTGTGAAAGGGAATATTGAACTCTGTGACTTGAATGCACATATCAAAAAGAAGTTTCAGAGAATGCTCTGTCGAGATTTTATATGAAGATATTCCCGTTTCCAACGAAATCCTGAAATCTATCCAAATATCCCCTCGCAGATTCTACAAAAAGAGTGTTTCAAAACTGCTCTGTAAAAAGAAAGGTTCAACTCTGTTAGTTGAGTACACACATCACAAACAAGTTTCACAGAATGCTTTCTTTCTAGCTTGTAGGGGAAGATATTCCCCTTATCACCATGGGCCTCCAACCGTCCGAAACATCCACTTCCATATACTACAAAAAGAGCGTTTCAAACCTGCTCTATGAAAGGCAATGTTCAACTCTGTGACTTGAATGCAGACATCACAGAGCAGTTTCTGAGAATGCTTCTGTCTAGATTTTATAGGAAGATATTCCCGTTTCCAACGAAATCTTCACGGCTATCCAAATATCCACTTGCAGATTCTACAAAAAGAGTGTATCAAAACTGCTCTGTCAAAAGGAAGGTTCTTCTCTGTTAGGTGAGTGCATACGTCATAAAGGAGTTTCTGAGAATGTTTCTGTCTAGTGGTTATGGGAAGATATTTGCTTTTTCCCCGTAGGCCTCAGAGCGCTCCAAATATCCACTTGCACATACTACAAAAAGAGTGCTTCAAAGCTGCTCTCTGAAACGGAATGTTCAACTCTATGAGTTGAATGCAAACATCGCAAAGACGTTTCTGAGAATGCTTCTGTCTAGATTTGATATGAAAATATTCCCGTTTCCAACGAAATCTTCAAATCTATCCAAATGTCCACTTGCAGATTCAACAAAAAGTGTTTTTCAGAACTGCTCTATCAAAAGAAAGATCCACCTCTGTTAGCTGAGTTCACACATCATAAACAAGTTTATGAGAATGCTTCTGTCTAGTTTTTATTTGAAGATATTTCCTTTCTCACCATAGACCTGAAAGCTGTCCTAATGTTCACTTCCAGATACTACAGAAAGAGTGCTTCAAAACTGTTGTACGAAAGGGAATGTTCAACTCTGTGACTTGAATGCACACATCACAAAGAAGTTTCTGAGGATGCTGCTGTCTACTTTTTATACTTAATCCCGTTTCCAACGAAATCCTCCAAGCTTTCCAAATATCCACTTGCAGATTCCACAGAAAGACTGTTTCAAAACTGCTCTGTCAATAGAAAGGTTCAACTCTGTTAGCTGCGTGCATATATCCCAAAGAAGATTCTGAGATTGCTTCTGTCTAGTTTTTGTGGGAAGATATTTCGCTTTTCACCGTAGGTGTCAAGGCGCTCCAAATGTCCACTTCCAGATACTACAAAAAGAGTGTTTCAAACCTACTCTGTGAAAGGGAATATTCAACTCTGTGACTTGAATGCACATATCACAAAGAAGTTTCTGAGAATGCTTCTGTCGAGATTTTATATGAAGGTATTCCCGTTTCCAACGAAATCCTGAAATCTATCCAAATATCCCCTCGCAGATTCTACAAAAAGAGTGTTTCAAAACTGCTGTGTAAAAAGAAAGGTTCAACTCTGTTAGTTGAGTACACACATCACAAACAAGTTTCACAGAATGCTTCTTTCTAGCTTGCAGGGGAAGATATTCCCTTTATCACCATGGGCCTCCAACTGTCCGAAACATCCACTTCCATATACTACAAAAAGAGCGTTTCAAACCTGCTCTATGAAAGGCAATGTTCAACTCTGTGACTTGAATGCAGACATCACAGAGCAGTTTCTGAGAATGCTTCTGTCTAGAATTTATAGGAAGATATTCCCGTTTCCAACGAAATCTTCACAGCTATCCAAATATCCACTTGCAGATTCTACAAAAAGAGTGTGTCAAAACTGCTCTGTCAAAAGGAAGGTTCTTCTCTGTTAGTTGAGTACATACGTCATAAAGGAGTTTCTGAGAATGTTTCTGTCTAGTGGTTATGGGAAGATACTTGCTTTTTCACCGTAGGCCTCAGAGCGCTCCAAATATCCACTTGCACATACTACAAAAAGAGTGCTTCAAAGCTGCTCTCTGAAACGGAATGTTCAACTCTATGAGTTGAATGCAAACATCACAAAGACGTTTCTGGGAATGCTTCTGTCTAGATTTGATATGAAGATATTCCCGTTTACAACGAAATCTTCAAATCTATCCAAATGTCCACTTGCAGATTCAACAAAAAGTGTTTTTCAGAACTGCTCTATCAAAAGAAAGATCCACCTCTGTTAGCTGAGTTCACACATCACAAACAAGTTTATGAGAATGCTTCTGTCTAGTTTTTATTTGAAGATATTTCCTTTCTCACCATAGACCTGAAAGCTGTCCTAATGTTCACTTCCAGATACTACAGAAAGAGTGTTTCAAAACTGCTGTACGAAAGGGAATGTTCAACTCTGTGACTTGAATGCACACATCACAAAGAAGTTTCAGAGGAGGCTGCTGTCTACTTTTATACCTAATCCCGTTTCCAACGAAATCCTCCAAGCTATCCAAATATCCACTTGCAGATTCCACAGAAAGACTATTTCAAAACTGCTCTGTCAATAGAAAGGTTCAACTCTGTTAGCTGCGTGCATATATCCCAAAGAAGATTCTGAGATTGCTTCTGTCTAGTTTTTATGGGAAGATATTTCCCTTTTCACCGTAGGTGTCAAGGCGCTCCAAATGTCCACTTCCAGATACTACAAAAAGAGTGTTTCAAACCTACTCTGTGAAAGGGAATATTCAACTCTGTGACTTCAATGCACATATCACAAAGAACTTTCTGAGAATGCTTCTGTCGAGATTTTATATGAAGGTATTCCCGTTTCCAACGAAATCCTGAAATCTATCCAAATATCCCCTCGCAGATTCTACAAAAAGAGTGTTTCAAAACTGCTCTGTGAAAAGAAAGGTTCAACTCTGTTAGTTGAGTACACACATCACAAACAAGTTTCACAGAATGCTTCTTTCTAGCTTGTAGGGGAAGATATTCCCTTTATCACCATGGGCCTCAAACCGTCCAAAACGTCCACTTCCATATACTACAAAAAGAGCGTTTCAAACCTGCTCTATGAAAGGCAATGTTCAACTCTGTGACTTGAATGCAGACATCACAGAGCAGTTTCTGAGAATGCTTCTGTCTAGATTTTATAGGAAGATATTCCCGTTTCCAACGAAATCTTCACAGCTATCCAAATATGCACTTGCAGATTCTACAAAAAGAGTGTATCAAAACTGCTCTGTCAAAAAGAATGTTCTTCTCTGTTAGTTGAGTACATACGTCATAAAGGAGTTTCTGAGAATGTTTCTGTCTAGTGGTTATGGGAAGATATTTGCTTTTTCACCGTAGGCCTCAGTAGCGCTCCAAATATCCACTTGCACATACTACAAAAAGAGTCTTTCAAAGCTGCTCTCTGAAAGGGAATGTTCAACTCTATGAGTTGAATGCAAACATGACAAAGACGTTTCTGAGAATGCTTCTGTCTAGATTTGATATAAAGGTATTCCCGTTTCCAACGAAATCTTCAAATCTATCCAAATGTCCACTTGCAGATTCAACAAAAAGTGTTTTTCAGAACTGCTCTATCAAAAGAAAGATCCACCTCTGTTAGCTGAGTTCACACATCACAAACAAGTTTATGAGAATGCTTCTGTCTAGTTTTTATTTGAAGATATTTCCTTTCTCACCATAGAGCTGAACGCTGTCCTAATGTTCACTTCCAGATACTACAGAAAGAGTGTTTCAAAACTGCTGTACGAAAGGGAATGTTCAACTCTGTGACTTGAATGCACACATCACAAAGAAGTTTCGGAGGATGCTGCTGTCTACTTTTTATATGTAATCCCGTTTCCAACGAAATCCTCCAATCTATCCAAATATCCACTTGCAGATTCCACAGAAAGACTGTTTCAAATCTGCTCTGTCAACAGAAAGATTCAAGTCTGTTAGCTGCGTGCATATATCCCAAAGAAGATTCTGAGATTGCTTCTGTCTAGTTTTTATGGGAAGATATTTCCCTTTTCACCGTAGGCGTCAAGGCGCTCCAAATGTCCACTTCCAGATACTACAAAAAGAGTGTTTCAAACCTACTCTGTGAAAGGGAATATTCAACTCTGTGACTTGAATGCACATATCACAAGGAAGTTTCGGAGAATGCTTCTGTCGAGATTTTATATGAAGATATTCCCGTTTCCAACGAAATGCTGAAATCTATCCAAATATCCCCTCGCAGATTCTACAAAAAGAGTGTTTCAAAACTGCTCCTGTGAAAAGAAAGGTTCAACTACTGTTAGTTGAGTACACACATCACAAACTAGTTTCACAGAATGCTTCTTTCTAGCTTGTAGGGGAAGATATTCCCTAAATCACCATGGGCCTCAAACCGTCCGAAACGTCCACTTCCATATACTACAAAAAGAGTGTTTCAAACCTGCTCTATGAAAGGCAATGTTCAACTCTGTGACTTGAATGCAGACAACACAGAGCAGTTTCTGAGAATGCTTCTGTCTAGATTTTATAGGAAGATATTCCCGTTTCCAACGAAATCTTCACAGCTATCCAAATATCCACTTGCAGATTCTACAAAAAGAGTGTATCAAAACTGCTCTGTCAAAAGGAAGGTTCTTCTCTGTTAGGTGAGTGCATACGTCATAAAGGAGTTTCTGAGAATGTTTCTGTCTAGTGGTTATGGGAAGATGTTTGCTTTTTCACCCTAGGCCTCAGAGCACTCCAATTATCCCCTTGCACATACTACAAAAAGAGTGCTTCAAAGCTGCTCTCTGAAAGGGAATGTTCAACTCTATGAGTTGAATGCAGACATCACAAAGACGTTTCTGGGAATGCTTCTGTCTAGATTTGATATGAAGATATTCCCGTTTCCAACGAAATCTTCAAATCTATCCAAATGTCCACTTGCATATTCAACAAAAAGTGTTTTTCAGAACTGCTCTATCAAAAGAAAGATCCACCTCTGTTAGCTGAGTTCACACATCACAAACAAGTTTATGAGAATGCTTCTGTCTAGTTTTTATTTGAAGATATTTCCTTTCTCACCATAGAGCTGAAAGCTGTCCTAATGTTCACTTCCAGATACTACAGAAAGAGTGTTTCAAAACTGCTGTACGAAAGGGAATGTTCAACTGTGTGACTTGAATGCACACATCACAAAGAAGTTTCTGAGGATGCTGCTGTCTACTTTTTATATGTAATCCCGTTTCCAACGAAATCCTCCAAGCTATCCAAATATCCACTTGCAGATTTAACAGAAAGACTGTTTCAAAACTGCTCTGTCAATAGAAAAGTTCAACTCTGTTAGCTGCGTACATATATCCCAAAGAAGATTCTGAGATTGCTGCTGTCTAGTTTTTATGGGAACATATTTCCTTTTTCACCGTAGGCGTCAAGGCGCTCCAAATGTCCACTTCCAGATACTACAAAAAGAGTGTTTCAAACCTACTGTGTGAAAGGGAATATTCAACTCTTTGATTTGAATGTAGGTATCACAAAAAGTTTCTAAGAATGCTTCTGTCGCGATTTTATATGAAGATATTCCCGTTTCCAACGAAATCCTGAAATCTATCCAAATATCCCCTCGCAGATTCTACAAAAAGAGTGTTTCAAAACTGCTCTGTAAAAAGAAAGGTTCAACTCTGTTAGTTGAGTACACACATCACAAACAAGTTTCACAGAATGCTTCTTTCTAGCTTGTAGGGGAAGATATTCCCTTTATCACCATGGGCCTCAAACCGTCCGAAAAGTCCACTTCCATATACTACAAAAAGAGCGTTTCAAACCTGCTCTATGAAAGGCAATGTTCAACTCTGTGACTTGAAAGCAGACATCACAGAGCAGTTTCTGAGAATGCTTCTGTCTAGATTTTATAGGAAGATATTCCCGTTTACATCGAAATCTTCACAGGTATCCAAATATCCACTTGCAGATTCTACAAAAAGAGTGTATCAAAACTGCTCTGTCAAAAGGAAGGTTCTTCTCTGTTAGGTGAGTGCATACGTCATAAAGGAGTTTCTGAGAATGTTTCTGTCTAGTGTTTATGGGAAGATATTTGCTTTTTCACCGTAGGCCTCAGAGCACTCCAAATATCCCCTTGCACATACTACAAAAAGAGTGCTTCAAAGCTGCTCTCTGAAAGGGAATGTTCAACTCTATGAGTTGAATGCAAACATGACAAAGACGTTTCCGAGAATGCTTCTGTCTAGATTTGATATGAAGATATTCCCGTTTCCAACGAAATCTTCAAATCTATCCAAATGTCCACTTGCAGATTCAACAAAAAGTGTTTTTCAGAACTGCTCTATCAAAAGAAAGGTCCACCTCTGTTAGCTGAGTTCACACATCACAAACAAGTTTATGAGAATACTTCTGTCTAGTTTTTATTTGAAGATATTTCCTTTCTCACCATAGAGCTGAAAGCTGTCCTAATGTTCACTTCCAGATACTACAGAAAGAGTGTTTCAAAACTGCTGTACGAAAGGGAATGTTCAACTCTGTCACTTGAATGCACACATCACAAAGAAGTTTCCTGAGGATGCTGCTGTCTACTTTTTATACGTAATCCTGTTTCCAACGAAATCCTCCAAGCTATCCAAATATCCACTTGCAGATTCCCCAGAAAGACTGTTTCAAAACTGCTCTGTCAATAGAAAGGTTCAACTCTGTTAGCTGCGTGCATATATCCCAAAGAAGATTCTGAGATTGCTTCTGTCTAGTTTTTATGGGAAGATATTTCCCTTTTCACCGTAGGCATCAAGGCGCTCCAAATGTCCACTTCCAGATACTACAAAAAGACTGTTTCAAACCTACTCTGTGAAAGGGAATATTCAACTCTGTGACTTGAATGCACATATCACAAGGAAGTTTCTGAGAATGCTTCTGTCGAGTATTTTATATGAAGATATTCCCGTTTCCAACGAAATGCTGAAATCTATCCAAATATCCCCTCGCAGATTCTACAAAAAGAGTGTTTCAAAACTGCTCTGTAAAAAGAAAGGTTCAACTCTGTTAGTTGAGTACACACATCACAAATAAGTTTCACACAATGCTTCTTTCTAGCTTGTAGGGGAAGATATTCCCTTTATCACCATGGGCCTCAAACCGTCCGAAACGTCCACTTCCATATACTACAAAAAGAGCGTTTCAAACCTGCTCTATGAAAGGCAATGTTCAACTCTATGACTTGAATGCAGACATCACAGAGCAGTTTCTGAGAATGCTTCTGTCTAGATTTTATAGGAAGATATTCCCGTTTCCAACGAAATCTTCACAGCTATCCCAATATCCACTTGCAGATTCTACAAAAAGAGTATCTCAAAACTGCTCTGTCAAAAGGAAGGTTCTTCTCTGTTAGGTGAGTGCATACGTCATAAAGGAGTTTCTGAGAATGTTCCTGTCTAGTGGTTATGGGAAGATATTTGCTTTTTCCCCGTAGGCCTCAAAGCGCTCCAAATGTCCACTTGCACATACTACAAAAAGAGTGCTTCAAAGCTGCTCTCTGAAAGGGAATGTTCAACTCTATGAGTTGAATGCTAACATCACAAAGACGTTTCTGAGAATGCTTCTGTCTAGATTTAATATGAAGATATTCCCGTTTCCAACGAAATCTTCAAATCTATCCAAATATCCACTTGCAGATTCAACAAAAAGTGTTTTTCAGAACTGCTCTATCAAAAGAAAGATCCACCTCTGTTAGCTGAGATCACACTTCACAAACAAGTTTATCAGAATGCTTCTGTCTAGTTTTTATTTGAAGATATTTCCTTTCTCACCATAGACCTGAAAGCTGTCCTAATGTTCACTTCCAGATACTACAGAAAGAGTGTTTCAAAACTGCTGTACGAAAGGGAATGTTCAACTCTGTGACTTGAATGCACACATCACAAAGAAGTTTGCTGAGGATGCTGCTGTCTACTTTTTATACGTAATCCCGTTTCCAACGAAATCCTCCAAGCTATCCAAATATCCACTTGCAGATTCCACAGAAAGACTGTTTCAAAACTGCTCTGTCAATAGAAAGGTTCAACTCTGTTAGCTGCGTGCATATATCCCAAAAAAGATTCTGAGATTGCTTCTGTCTAGTTTTTATGGGAAGATATTTCCCTTTTCACCGTAGGCGTCAAGGCGCTCCAAATGTCCACTTCCAGATACTACAAAAAGAGTGTTTCAAACCTACTCTGTGAAAGGGAATATTCAACTCTGTGACTTGAATGCACATATCACAAAGAAGTTTCTGAAAATGCTTCTGTCGAGATTTTATATGAAGATACTCCCGTTTCCAACGAAATCCTGAAATCTATCCAAATATCCCCTCGCAGATTCTACAAAAAGAGTGTTTCAAAACTGCTCTGTAAAAGGAAAGGTTCAACTCTGTTAGTTGAGTACACACATCACAAACAAGTTTCACAGAATGCTTCTTTCTAGCTTGCAGGGGAAGATATTCCCTTTATCACCATGGGCCTCAAACCGTCCGAAACGTCTACTTCCATATACTACAAAAAGAGCGTTTCAAACCTGCTCTATGAAAGGCAATGTTCAACTCTGTGACTTGAATGCAGACATCACAGATCAGTTTCTGAGAATGCTTCTGTCTAGATTTTATAGGAAGATATTCCCGTTTCCAACGAAATCTTCACAGCTATCCAAATATGCACTTGCAGATTCTACAAAAAGAGTGTATCAAAACTGCTCAGTCAAAAAGAAGGTTCTTCTCTGTTAGTTGAGTACATACGTCATAAAGGAGTTTCTGAGAATGTTTTCTGTCTAGTGGTTATGGGAAGATATTTGCTTTTTCCCCGTAGGCCTCAGGGCGCTCCAAATATCCACTTGCACATGCTACAAAAAGAGTGCTTCAAAGCTGCTCTCTGAAACGGAATGTTCAACTCTATGAGTTGAATGCAAACATCGCAAAGACGTTTCTGAGAATGCTTCTGTCTAGATTTGATATGAAGATATTCCCGTTTCCAACGAAATCTTCAAATCTATCCAAATGTCCTCTTGCAGATTCAACAAAAAGTGTTTTTCAGAACTGCTCTATCAAAAGAAAGATCCACCTCTGTTAGCTGAGTTCACACATCACAAACAAGTTTATGAGAGTGCTTCTGTCTAGTTTTGATTTGAAGATATTTCCTTTCTCACCATAGAGCTGAAAGCTGTCCTAATGTTCACTTCCAGATACTACAGAAAGAGTGTTTCAAAACTGCTGTACGAAAGGGAATGTTCAACTCTGTGACTTGAATGCACACATCACAAAGAAGTTTCTGAGGATGCTGCTGTGTACTTTTGATACGTAATCCCGTTTCCAACGAAATCCTCCAAGCTATCGAAATATCCACTTGCAGATTCCACAGAACGACTGTTTCAAAACTGCTCTGTAAATAGAAATGTTCAACTCTGTTAGCTGCGTGCATATATCCCAAAGAAGATTCTGAGATTGCTTCTGTCTAGTTTTTATGGGAAGATATTTCCCTTTTCACCGTAGGTGTCAAGGCGCTCCAAATGTCCAATTCCAGATACTACAAAAAGAGTGTTTCAAACCTACTCTGTGAAAGGGAATATTCAACTCTGTGACTTGAATGCACATATCACAAAGAAGTTTCTGACAATGCTTCTGTCGAGATTTTATATGAAGATATTCCCGTTTCCAACGAAATCCTGAAATCTATCCAAATATCCCCTCGCAGATTCTACAAAAAGAGTGTTTCAAAACTGCTCTGTGAAAAGAAAAGTTCAACTCTGTTAGTTGAGTACACACATCACAAACAAGTTTCACAGAATGCTTCTTTCTAGCTTGTAGGGGAAGATATTCCCTTTATCACCATGGGCCTCAAACCGTCCGAAACGTCTACTTCCATATACTACAAAAAGAGCGTTTCAAACCTGCTCTATGAAAAGCAATGTTCAACTCTGTGACTTGAATGCAGATATCACAGAGCAGTTTCTGAGAATGCTTCTGTCTAGATTTTATAGGAAGATATTCCCGTTTCCAACGAAATCTTCACAGCTATCCAAATATCCACTTGCAGATTCTACAAAAAGAGTGTATCAAAACTGCTCTGTCAAAAGGAAGGTTCTTCTCTTATAGGTGAGTGCATAGGTCATAAAGGAGTTTCTGAGAATGTTTCTGTCTAGTGGTTATGGGAAGATATTTGCTTTTTCACCGTAGGCCTCAGGGCGCTCCAAATATCCACTTGCACATACTACAAAAAGAGTGCCTCAAAGCTGCTCTCTGAAACGGAATGTTCAACTCTATGAGTTGAATGCAAACATCGCAAAGACGTTTCTGAGAATGCTTCTGTCTAGATTTGATATGAAGATATTCCCGTTTCCAACGAAATCTTCAAATCTATCCAAATGTCCACTTGCAGATTCAACAAAAAGTGTTTTTCAGAACTGCTCTATCAAAAGAAAGATCCACCTCTGTTAGCTGAGTTCACACATCACAAAACAAGTTTATGAGAATGCTTCTGTCTAGTTTTTATTTGAAGATATTTCCTTTCTCACCATAGACCTGAAAGCTGTCCTAGTGTTCACTTCCAGTTACTACAGAAAGAGTGTTTCAAAACTGCTGTACGAAAGGGAATGTTCAACTCTGTGACTTGAATGCACACATCACAAAGAAGTTTCTGAGGATGCTGCTGTCTACTTTTTATACTTAATCCCGTTTCCAACGAAATCCTCCAAGCTGTCCAAATATCCACTTGCAGATTCCACAGAAAGACTGTTTCAAAACTGCTCTGTCAATAGAAAGGTTCAACTCTGTTAGCTGCGTGCATATATCCCAAAGAAGATTCTGAGATTGCTTCTGTCTAGTTTTTATGGGAAGATATTTCCCTTTTCACCGTAGGCGTCCAGGCGCTCCAAATGTCCACTTCCAGATACTACAAAAAGAGTGTTTCAAACCTACTCTATGAAAGGGAATATTCAACTCTGTGACTTGAATGCACATATCACAAGGAAGTTTCTGAGAATGCTTCTGTCGAGATTTTATATGAAGATATTCTCGTTTACAACGAAATCCTGAAATCTATCCAAATATCCCCTCGCAGATTCTACAAAAAGAGTGTTTCAAAACTGCTCTGTAAAAAGAAAGGTTCAACTCTGTTAGTTGAGTACACACATCACAAACAAGTTTCACACAATGCTTCTTTCTAGCTTGTAGGGGAAGATATTCCCTTTATCACCATGGGTCTCAAACCGTCCGAAACGTCTACTTCCATATACTACAAAAAGAGCGTTTCAAACCTGCTCTATGAAAGGCAATGTTCAACTCTGTGACTTGAATGCAGACATCACAGAGCAGTTTCTGAGAATGCTTCTGTCTAGATTTTATAGGAAGATATTCCCGTTTCCAACGAAATCTTCACAGCTATCCAAATATCCACTTGCAGATTCTACAAAAAGAGTGTATCAAAACTGCTCTGTCAAAAGGAAGGTTCTTTTCTGTTAGGTGAGTGCATACGTCATAAAGGAGTTTCTGAGAAGGTTTCTGTCTAGTGGTTATGGGAAGATATTTGCTTTTTCACCGTAGGCCTCGGAGCGCTCCAAATATCCACTTGCACATACTACAAAAAGAGTGTTTCAAACCTGCTCTCTGAAACGGAATGTTCAACTCTATGAGTTGAATGCAAACATCACAAAGACGTTTCTGAGAATGCTTCTGTCTAGATTTGATATGAAGATATTCCCGTTTCCAACGAAATCTTCAAATCTATCCAAATGTCCACTTGCAGATTCAAAAAAAAGTGTTTTTCAGAACTGCTCTATCAAAAGAAAGATCCACCTCTGTTAGCTGAGTTCACACATCACAAACAAGTTTATGAGAATGCTTCTGTCTAGTTTTTATTTGAAGATATTTCCTTTCTCACCATAGAGCTGAAAGCTGTCCTAATGTTCACTTCCAGATACTACAGAAAGAGTGTTTCAAAACTGCTGTACGAAAGGGAATGTTCAACTCTGTGACTTGAATGCACACATCACAAAGAAGTTTCTGAGTATGCTGCTGTCTACTTTTTATACTTAATCCCGTTTCCAACGAAATCCTCCAAGCTATCCAAATATCCACTTGCAGATTCCACAGAAAGACTGTTTCAAAACTGCTCTGTCAATAGAAAGGTTCAACTCTGTTAGCTGCGTGCATATATCCTAAAGAAGATTCTGAGATTGCTTCTGTCTACTTTTTATGAGAAGATATTTCCCTTTTCAACGTAGGCGTCAAGGCGCTCCAAATGTCCACTTCCAGATACTACAAAAAGAGTGTTTCAAACCTACTCTGTGAAAGGGAATATTCAACTCTGTGACTTGAATGCACATATCACAAAGAAGCTTCTGAGAATGCTTCTGTCGAGATTTTATATGAAGATATTCCCGTTTCCAACGAAATCCTGAAATGTATCCAAATATCCCCTCGCAGATTCTACAAAAAGAGTGTTTCAAAACTGCTCTGTAAAAAGAAAGGTTCAACTCTGTTAGTTGAGTACGCACATCACAAACAAGTTTCACAGAATGCTTCTTTCTAGCTTGTAGGGGAAGATATTCCCTTTATCACCATGGGCCTCAAACCGTCCGAAACATCCAGTTCCATATACTACAAAAAGAGCGTTTCAAACCTGCTCTAGGAAAGGCAATGTTCAACTCTGTGACTTGAATGCAGACATCACAGAGCAGTTTCTGAGAATGCTTCTGTCTAGATTTTATAGGAAGATATTCCCGTTTCCAACGAAATCTTCACAGCTATCCAAATATCCACTTGCAGATTCTGCAAAAAGAGTGTATCAAAAGTGCTCAGTCAAAAGGAAGGTTCTTCTCTGTTAGGTGAGTGCATACGTCATAAAGGAGTTTCTGAGAATGTTTCTGTCTAGTGGTTATGGGAAGGATATTTGCTTTTTCACCGTAGGCCTCAGAGCGCTCCAAATATCCACTTGCACATACTACAAAAAGAGTGCCTCAAAGCTGCTCTCTGAAACGGAATGTTCAACTCTATGAGTTGAATGCAAACATCGCAAAGACGTTTCTGAGAATGCTTCTGTCTAGCATTTGATATGAAGATATTCCCGTTTCCAACGAAATCTTCAAATCTATCCAAATGTCCACTTGCAGATTCAACAAAAAGTGTTTTTCAGAACTGCTCTATCAAAAGAAAGATCCACCTCTGTTAGCTGAGTTCACACATCACAAACAAATTTATGAGAATGCTTCTCTCAAGTTTTTATTTGAAGATATTTCCTTTCTCACCATAGACCTGAAAGCTGTCCTAATGTTCACTTCCAGATACTACAGAAAGAGTGTTTCAAAACTGCTGTACGAAAGGGAATGTTCAACTCTGTGACTTGAATGCACACATCACAAAGAAGTTTCTGAGGATGCTGCTGTCTACTTTTTATACGTAATCCCGTTTCCAAAGATATCCTCCAAGCTATCCAAATATCCACTTGCAGATTCCACAGTAAGACTGTTTCAAAACTGCTCTGTCAATAGAAAGGTTCAACTCTGTTAGCTGCATGCATATATCCCAAAGAAGATTCTGAGATTGCTTCTGTCTAGTTTTATGGGAAGATATTTCCCTTTTCACCGTGGGCGTCAAGGCGCTCCAAATGACCACTTCCAGATACTACAAAAAGAGTGTTTCAAACCTACTCTGTGAAAGGGAATATTCAACTCTGTGACTTGAATGCACATATCACAAGGAAGTTTCTGAGAATGCTTCTGTCGAGATTTTATATGAAGATCTTCCCGTTTCCAACGAAATCCTGAAATCTATCCAAATATCCCCTCGCAGATTCTACAAAAAGAGTGTTTCAAAACTGCTCTGTAAAAAGAAAGGTTCAACTCTGTTAGTTGAGTACACACATCACAAACAAGTTTCACAGAATGCTTCTTTCTAGCTTGTAGGGGAAGATATTCCCTTTATCACCATGGGCCTCAAACCGTCCGAAACGTCCACTTCCATATACTACAAAAAGAGCGCTTCAAACCTGCTCTATGAAAGACAATGTTCAACTCTGTGACTTGAATGCAGACATCACAGAGCAGTTTCTGAGAATGCTTCTGTCTAGATTTTATAGGAAGATATTCCCGTTTCCAACGAAATCTTCACAGCTATCCAAATATAAACTTGCAGATTCTACAAAAAGAGTGTATCAAAACTGCTCTGTCAAAAGGAAGGTTCTTCTCTGTTAGGTGAGTGCATACGTCATAAAGGAGTTTCTGAGAATGTTTCTGTCTAGTGGTTATGGGAAGATATTTGCTTTTTCACCTTAGGCCTCAGAGCGCTCAAAATATCCCCTTGCACATACTACAAAAAGAGTGCTTCAAAGCTGCTCTCTGAAACGGAATGTTCAACTCTATGAGTTGAATGCCAACATCACAAAGACGTTTCTGAGAATGCTTCTGTCTAGATTTGATATGAAGATATTCCCGTTTCCAACGAAATCTTCAAATCTATCCAAATGTCCACTTGCAGATTCAACAAAGTGTTTTTCAGAATTGCTCTATCAAAAGAAAGATCCACCTCTGTTAGCTGAGTTCACACTTCACAAACAAGTTTATCAGAATGCTTCTGTCTAGTTTTTATTTGAAGATATATCCTTTCTCACGATAGACCTGAAAGCTGTCCTAAAGTTCACTTCCAGATACTACAGAAAGAGTGTTTCAAAACTGCTGTACGAAAGGGAATGTTCAACTCTGTGACTTGAATGCACACATTACAAGGATGTTTCTGAGGATGCTGCTGTCTACTTTTTATACGTAATCCCGTTTCCAACGAAATCCTCCAAGCTATCCAAATATCCACTTGCAGATTCCACAGAAAGACTGTTTCAATACTGCTCTGTCAATAGAAAGGTTCAACTCTGTTAGCTGCGTGCATATATCCCAAAGAAGATTCTGAGATTGCTTCTGTCTAGTTTTTATGGGAAGATATTTCCCTTTTCACCGTAGGCGTCAAGGCGCTCCAAATGTCCACTTCCAGATACAACAAAAAGAGTGTTTCAAACGTACTCTGTGAAAGGGAATATTCAACTCTGTGACTTGAATGCACATATCACAAAGAAGTTTCTGAAAATGCTTCTGTCGAGATTTTATATGAAGATATTCCCGTTTCCAACGAAATCCTGAAATCTATCCAAATATCCCCTCGCAGATTCTACAGAAAGAGTGTTTCAAAACTGCTCTGTAAAAAGAAAGGTTCAACTCTGTTACTTGAGTACACACATCACAAACAAGTTTCACAGAATGCTTCTTTCTAGCTTGTAGGGGAAGATATTCCCTTTATCACCATGGGCCTCAAACCGTCCGAAACATCCACTTCCATATACTACAAAAAGAGCGTTTCAAACCTGCTCTATGAAAGGCAATGTTCAACTCTGTGACTTGAATACAGACATCACAGAGCAGTTTCTGAGAATGCTTCTGTCTAGATATTATAGGAGGATATTCCCGTTTCCAACGAAATCTTCACAGCTATCCAAATATCCACTTGCAGATTCTACAAAAAGAGTGTATCAAAACTGCTCTGTCAAAAGGAAGGTTCTTCTCTGTTAGGTGAGTGCATACGTCATAAAGGAGTTTCTGAGAATGTTTCTGTCTAGTGGTTATGGGAAGATATTTGCTTTTTCACCGTGGGCCTCAGAGCGCTCAAAATATCCACTTGCACATACTACAAAAAGAGTGCTTCAAAGCTGCTCTCTGAAACGGAATGTTCAACTCTATGAGTTGAATGCAAACATCACAAAGACGTTTCTGAGAATGCTTCTGTCTAGATTTGATATGAAGATATTCCCGTTTCCAACGAAATCTTCAAATCTATCCAGATGTCCACTTGCAGATTCAACAAAAAGTGTTTTTCAGAACTGCTCTATCAAAAGAAAGATCCACCTCTGTTAGCTGAGTTCACACATCACAAACAAGTTTATGAGAATGCTTCTGTCTAGTTTTTATTTGAAGATATTTCCTTTCTCACCATAGACCTGAAAGCTGTCCTAATGTTCACTTCCAGATACTACAGAAAGAGTGTTTCAAAACTGCTGTACGAAAGGGAATGTTCAACTCTGGGACTTGAATGCACACATCACAAAGAAGTTTCTGAGGATGCGGCTGTCTACTTTTTATACTTAATCCCGTTTCCAACGAAATCCTCCAAGCTATCCAAATATCCACTTGCAGATTCCACAGAAAGACTGTTTCAAAACTGCTCTGTCAATAGAAAGGTTCAACTCTGTTAGCTGCGTGCATGTATCCCAAAGAAGATTCTGAGATTGCTTCTGTCTAGTTTTTATGGGAAGATATTTCCCTTTTCACCGTAGGTGTCAAGGCACTCCAAATGTCCACTTCCAGATACTACAAAAAGAGTGTTTCAAACCTACTCTGTGAAAGAGAATATTCAACTCTGTGACTTGAATGCACATATCACAAAGAAGTTTCTGAGAATGCTTCTGTCGAGATTTTGTATGAAGATATTCCCGTTTCCAACGAAATCCTGAAATCTATCCAAATATCCCCTCGCAAATTCTACAAAAAGAGTGTTTCAAAACTGCTCTGTGAAAAGAAAGGTTCAACTCTGTTAGTTGAGTACACACATCACAAACAAGTTTCACAGAATGCTTCTTTCTAGCTTGTAGGGGAAGATATTCCCTTTATCACCATGGGCCTCCAACCGTCCGAAACATCCACTTCCATATACTACAAAAAGAGCGTTTCAAACCTGCTCTATGAAAGGCAATGTTCAACTCTGTGACTTGAATACAGACATCACAGAGCAGTTTCTGAGAATGCTTCTGTGTAGATTTTATAGGAAGATATTTCCGTTTCCAACGAAACCTTCACAGCTATCCAAATATCCACTTGCAGATTCTACAAAAAGAGTGTATCAAAACTGCTCTGTCAAAAGGAAGATTCTTCTCTGTTAGTTGAGTACATACGTCATAAAGGAGTTTCTGAGAATGTTTCTGTCTACTGGTTACGGGAAGATATTTGCTTTTGCACCTTAGGCCTCAGAGCGCTCCAAATATCCACTTGCACATACTACAAAAAGAGTGCTTCAAAGCTGCTCTCTGAAACGGAATGTTCAACTCTATGAGTTGAATGCCAACATCACAAAGACGTTTCTGAGAATGCTTCTGTCTAGATTTGATATGAAGATATTCCCGTTTCCAACGTAATCTTCAAATCTATCCAAATGTCCCCTTGCAGATTCAACAAAGTGTTTTTCAAAACTGCTGTACCAAAGAAAGATCCACCTCTGTTAGCTGAGTTCACACATCACAAACAAGTTTATCAGAATGCTTCTGTCTAGTTTTTATTTGAAGATATTTCCTTTCTCACCATAGAGCTGAAAGCTGTCCTAATGTTCACTTCCAGATACTACAGAAAGAGTGTTTCAAAACTGCTGTACGAAAGGGAATGTTCAACTCTGGGACTTGAATGCACACATCACAAAGAAGTTTCGGAGGATGCTGCTGTCTACTTTTTATACGTAATCCCGTTTCCAACGAAATCCTCCAAGCTATCCAAATATCCAATTGCAGATTCCACAGAAAGACTGTTTCAAAACTGCTCTGTCAATAGAAAGGTTCAACTCTGTTAGCTGCGTGCATATATCCCAAAGAAGATTCTGAGATTGCTTCTGTCTAGTTTTTATGGGAAGATATTTCCCTTTTTACCGTAGGCGTCAAGGCGCTCCAAATGTCCACTTCCAGATACTACAAAAAGAGTTTTTCAAACCTACTCGGTGAAAGGGAATATTCAACTCTGTGACTTGAATGCAGATATCACAAAGAAGTTTCTGAGAATGCTTCTGTCGAGATTTTATATGAAGATATTCCCGTTTCCAACGAAATCCTGAAATCTATCCAAATATCCGCTCGCAGATTCTACAAAAAGAGTGTTTCAAAACTGCTCTGTGAAAAGAAAGGTTCAACTCTGTTAGTTGAGTACACACATCAGAAACAAGTTTCACAGAATGCTTCTTTCTAGCTAGTAGGGGAAGATATTCCCTTTATCACCATGGGCCTTAAACCGTCCGAAACGTCCACTTCCATATACTACAAAAAGAGCGTTTCAAACCTGCTCTATGAAAGGCAATGTTCAACTCTGTGACTTGAATGCAGACATCACAGAGCAGTTTCTGAGAATGCTTCTGTCTAGATTTTATAGGAAGATATTCCCGTTTCCAATGAAATCTTCACAGCTATCCAAATATCCACTTGCAGATTCTACAAAAAGAGTGTATCAAAACTGCTCTGTCAAAAGGAAGGTTCTTCTCTGTTAGGTGAGTGCGTACGTCATAAAGGAGTTTCTGAGAATGTTTCTGTCTAGTGGTTATGGGAAGATATTTGCTTTTTCACCTTAGGCCTCAGAGCGCTCCAAATATCCCCTTGCACATACTACAAAAAGAGTGCTTCAAAGCTGCTCTCTGAAAGGGAATGTTCAACTCTATGAGTTGAATGCAAACATCACAAAGACGTTTCTGAGAATGCTTCTGTCTAGATTTGATATGAAGATATTCCCGTTTCCAATGAAATCTTCAAATCTATCCGAATGTCCACTTGCAGATTCAACAAAAAGTGTTTTTCAGAACTGCTCTATCAAAAGAAAGATCCACCTCTGTTAGCTGAGTTCACACATCACAAACAAGTTTATGAGAATGCTTCTGTCTAGTTTTTATTTGAAGATATTTCCTTTCTCACCATAGACCTGAAAGCTGTCCTAATGTTCACTTCCAGATACTACAGAAAGAGTGTTTCAAAACTGCTGTACGAAAGGGAATGTTCAACTCTGTGACTTGAATGCACACATCCCAAAGAAGTTTCTGAGGATGCTGCTGTCTACTTTTTATACGTAATCCCGTTTCCAACGAAATCCTCCAAGCTATCCCAATATCCACTTGCAGATTCCACAGAAAGACTGTTTCTAAACTGCTGTGTCAATAGAAAGGTTCAACTCTGTTAGCTGCGTGCATATATCCCAAAGAAGATTCTGAGATTGCTTCTGTCTAGTTTTTATGGGAAGATATTTCCCTTTTCACCGTAGGTGTCAAGGCGCTCCAAATGTCCACTTCCAGATACTATAAAAAGAGTGTTTCAAACCTACTCTGTGAAAGGGAATATTCAACTCTGTGACTTGAATGCAGATATCACAAAGAAGTTTCTGAGAATGCTTCTGTCGAGATTTTATATGAAGATATTCCCGTTTCCAACGAAATCCTGAAATCTATCCAAATATCCCCTCGCAGATTCTACAAAAATAGTGTTTCAAAACTACTCTGTAAAAAGAAAGGTTCAACACTGTTAGTTGAGTACACACATCACAAACAAGTTTCACAGAATGCTTCTTTCTAGCTTGTAGGGGAAGATATTCCCTTTATCACCATGGGCCTCAAACCGTCCGAAACCTCCAGTTACATATACTACAAAAAGAGCGTTTCAAACCTGCTCTATGAAAGGCAATGTTCAACTCTGTGACTTGAATGCAGACATCACAGAGCTGTTTCTGAGAATACTTCTGTCTAGATTTTATAGGAAGATATTCCCGTTTCCAACGAAATCTTCACAGCTATCCAAATATCCACTTGCAGATTCTACAAAAAGAGTGTATCAAAACTGCTCTGTCAAAAGGAAGGTTCTTCTCTGTTAGTTGAGTATATACGTCATAAAGGAGTTTCTGAGAATGTTTCTGTCTAGTGGTTATGGGAAGATATTTGCTTTTTCACCGTAGGCCTCAGAGCGCTCCAAATATCCACTTGCACATACTACAAAAAGAGTGCTTCAAAGCTGGTCTCTGAAACGGAACGTTCAACTCTATGAGTTGAATGCAAACATCACAAAGACGTTTCTGAGAATGCTTCTGTCTAGATTTGATATGAAGATATTCCCGTTTCCAACGAAATCTTCAAATCTATCCAAATGTCCACTTGCAGATTCAACAAAAAGTGTTTTTCAGAACTGCTCTATCAAAAGAAAGATCCACCTCTGTTAGCTGAGTTTACACATCACAAACAAGTTTATGAGAATGCTTCTGTCTAGTTTTTATTTGAAGATATTTCCTTTCTCACCATAGACCTGAAAGCTGTCCAAATGTTCACTTCCAGATGCTACAGAAAGAGTGTTTCAAAACTGTTGTACGAAAGGGAATGTTCAACTCTGTGACTTGAATGCACACATCACAAAGAAGTTTCTGAGGATGCTGCTGTCTAATTTTTATACGTAATCCCGTTTACAACGAAATCCTCCAAGCTATCCAAATATGCACTTGCAGATTCCACAGAAAGACTGTTTCAAAACTGCTCTGTCAATAGAAAGGTTCAACTCTGTTAGCTGCGTGCATATATCCCAAAGAAGATTCTGAGATTGCTTCTGTCTAGTTTTTATGGGAAGATATTTCCCTTTTCACCGTAGGTGTCAAGGCGCTCAAAATGTCCACTTCCAGATACTACAAAAAGAGTGTTTCAAACCTACTCTGTGAAAGGGAATATTCAACTCTGTGACTTGAATGCAGATATCACAAAGAAGTTTCTGAGAATGCTTCTGTCGAGATTTTATATGAAGATATTCCCGTTTCCAACGAAATCCTGAAATCTATCCAAATATCCCCACGCAGATTCTACAAAAAGAGTGTTTCAAAACTGCTCTGTAAAAAGAAAGGTTCAACTCTGTTAGATGAGTACACACATCACAAACAAGTTTCACAGAATGCTTCTTTCTAGCTTGTATGGGAAGATATTCCCTTTATCACCATGGGCCTCAAACCGTCCGAAACGTCCACTTCCATATACTACAAAAAGAGTGTTTCAAACCTGCTCTATGAACGGCAATGTTCAACTCTGTGACTTGAATCCAGACATCACAGAGCAGTTTCTGAGAATGCTTCTGTCTAGATTTTATAGGAAGATATTCCCGTTTCCAACGAAATCTTCACAGCTATCCAAATATCCACTTGCAGATTCTACAAAAAGAGTGTATCAAAACTGCTCTGTCAAAAGGAAGGTTCTTCTCTGTTAGTTGAGTACATATGTCATAAAGGAGTTTCTGAGAATGTTTCTGTCTAGTGGTTATGGGAAGATATTTGCTTTTTCACCTTAGGCCTCAGAGCGCTCCATATATCCCCTTGCACATACTACAAAAAGAGTGCTTCAAAGCTGCTCTCTGAAAGGGAATGTTCAACTCTATGAGTTGAATGCAAACATCACAAAGACGTTTCTGAGAATGCTTCTGTCTAGGTTTGATATGAAGATATTCCCGTTTCCAACGAAATCTTCAAATCTATCCAAATGTCCACTTGCGGATTCAACAAAAAGTGTTTTTCAGAACTGCTCTATCAAAAGAAAGATCCACCTCTCTTAGCTGAGTTCACACATCACAAACAAGTTTATGAGAATGCTTCTGTCTAGTTTTTATTTGAAGATATTTCCTTTCTCACCATAGAGCTGAAAGCTGTCCTAATGTTCACTTCCAGATACTACAGAAAGAGTGTTTCAAAACTGCTGTACGAAAGGGAATGCTCAACTCTGTGACTTGAATGCACACATCACAAAGAAGTTTCTGAGGATGCTGCTGTCTACTTTTTATACGTAATCCCGGTTTCCAAAGAAATCCTCCAAGCTATCCAAATATCCACTTGCAGATTCCACAGAAGGACTGTTTCTAAACTGCTCTGTCAATAGAAAGGTTCAACTCTGTTAGCTGCGTGCATATATCCCAAAGAAGATTCTGAGATTGCTTCTGACTAGTTTTTATTGGAAGATATTTCCTTTTTCACCATAGGCATCAAAGCGCTCCAAATTTCCACTTCCAGATACTACAAAAAAAGAGTGTTTCAAACCTACTGTGTGGAAGGGAATATTTAACTCGGTGACTTCAATGCACATATCACAGAGAAGTTTCTGAGAATGCTTCTGTCGAGATTTTATATGAAGATATTCCCCTTTCCAACGAAATCCTGAAATCTATCCAAATATGCCCTCGCAGATTCTACAAAAAGAGTGTTTCAAAACTGCTCTGTAAAAAGAAAGGTTCAACTCCTGTGAGTTGAGTACACACATCACAAACAAGTTTCACAGAATGCTTCTTTCTAGCTTGTAGGGGAAGATATTCCCTTTATCACCATGGGCCTCAAACCGTCCGAAAAGTCCACTTCCATATACTACAAAAAGAGCGTTTCAAACCTGCTCTATGAAAGGCAATGTTCAACTCTGTGACTTGAATGCAGACATCACAGAGCAGTTTCTGAGAATGCTTCTGTCTAGATTTTATAGGAAGATATTCCCGTTTCCAACGAAATCTTCACAGCTATCCAAATATCCACTTGCAGATTCTACAAAAAGATTGTATCAAAACTGCTCTGTCAAAAGGAAGGTTCTTTTCTGTTAGGTGAGTGCATACGTCATAAAGGAGTTTCTGAGAATGTTTCTGTCTAGTGGTTATGGGAAGATATTTGCTTTATCACCGTAGGCCTCAGAGCGCTCCAAATATCCGCTTGCACATACTACAAAAAGAGTGCTTCAAAGCTGCTCTCTGAAACGGAATGTTCAACTCTATGAGTTGAATGCAAACATCACAAAGACGTTTCTGAGATTGCTTCTATCTAGATTTGATATGAAGAAATTCCCGTTTCCAACGAAATCTTCAAATCTATACAAATGTCCACTTGCAGATTCAACAAAGTGTTTTTCAGAACTGCTCTATCAAAAGAAAGATCCACCTCTGTTAGCTGAGATCACACTTCACAAACAAGTTTATCAGAATGCTTCTGTCTAGTTTTTATTTGAAGATATTTCCTTTCTCACCATAGACCTGAAAGCTGTCCTAATGTTCACTTCCAGATGCTACAGAAAGAGTCTTTCAAAACTGGTGTACAAAAGGGAATGTTCAAATCTGTGACTTGAATGCACACATCACAAAGAAGTTTCTGAGGATGCTGCTGTCTACTTTTTATGCGTAATCCCGTTTCCAACGAAATCCTCCAAGCTATCCAAATATCCACTTGCAGATTCCACAGAAAGACTGTTTCAAAACTGCTCTGTCAATAGAAAGGTGCAAATCTGTTAGCTGCGTGCATATATCCCAAAGAAGATTCTGAGATTGCTTCTGTCTAGTTTTTATGAGAAGATATTTCCCTTTTCACCGTAGGTGTCAAGGCGATCCAAATGTCCACTTCCAGATACTACAAAAGGAGTGTTTCAAACCTACTCTGTGAAAGGGAATATTCAACTCTGTGACTTGAATGCAGATATCACAAAGAAGTTTCTGAGAATGCTTCTGTCGAGATTTTATATGAAGATATTCCCGTTTCCAACGAAATCCTGAAATCTATCCAAATATCCCCTCGCAGATTCTACAAAAAGAGTGTTTCAAAACTGCTCTGTAAAAAGAAAGGTTCAACTCTGTTAGTTGAGTACACACATCACAAACAAGTTTCACAGAATTCTTCTTTCTAGCTTGTAGGGGAAGATATTCCCTTTATCACCATGGGCCTCAAACCCTCCGAAACGTCCACTTCCATATACTACAAAAAGAGCGTTTCAAACCTGCTCTATGAAAGGCAATGTTCAACTCTGTGACTTGAATGCAGACATCACAGAGCAGTTTCTGAGAATGCTTCTGTCTAGGTTTTATAGGAAGATATTCCCGTTTCCAACGAAATCTTCACAGCTATCCAAATATCCACTTGCAGACAGTACAAAAAGAGTGTATCAAAAATGCTCCGTCAAAAGGAAAGTTCTTCTCTGTCAGTTGAGTACATACGTCATAAAGGAGTTTTTGAGAATGTTTCTGTCTAGTGGTTATGGGAAGATATTTGCTTTTTCACCGTAGGCCTCAGAGCGCTCCAAATATCCGCTTGCACATACTACAAAAAGAGTGCTTCAAAGCTGCTCTCTGAAACGGAATGTTCAACTCTAAGAGTTGAATGCAAACATGACAAAGACGTTTCTGACAATGCTTCTGTCTAGATTTGATATGAAGATATTCCCGTTTCCAACGAAATCTTCAAATCTATCCAAATGTCCACTTGCAGATTCAACAAAAAGTGTTTTTCAGAACTGCTCTATCAAAAGAAAGATCCACGTGCGTTAGCTGAGTTCACACATCACAAACAAGTTTATGAGAATGCTTCTGTCTAGTTTTTATTTGAAGATATTTCCTTTCTGACCATAGCCCTGAAAGCTGTACTAATGTTCACTTCCAGATACTACAGAAAGAGTGTTTCAAAACTGCTGTACGAAAGGGAATGTTCAACTCTGTGACTTGAATGCACACATCACAAAGAAGTTTCTGAGGATGCTGCTGTCTACTTTTTATACGTAATCCCGTTTCCAACGAAACCCTCCAAGCTATCCAAATATCCACTTGCAGATTCCACAGAAAGACTGTTTCAAAACTGCTCTGTCAATAGAAAGGTTCAACTCTGTTAGCTGCGTGCATATATCCCAAAGAAGATTCTGAGATTGCTTCTGTCTAGTTTTTATGGGAAGATATTTCCCTTTTCACCGTAGGCGTCAAGGCGCTCCAAATGTCCACTTCCAGATACTACAAAAAGAGTGTTACAAACCTACTCTGTGAAAGGGAATATTCAACTCTGTGACTTGAAGGCAGATATCACAAAGAAGTTTCTGAGAATGCTTCTGTCGAGATTTTATATGAAGTTATTCCCGTTTCCAACGAAATCCTGAAACCTATGCAAATATCCCCTCGCAGATTCTACAAAAAGAGTTTTCCAAAACAGCTCTGTAAAAAGAAAGGTTCACCGCTGTTAGTTGAATACACACATCACAAACTAGTTTCTCAGAATGCTTCTTTCTAGCTTGTATGGGAAGATATTCCCTTTATGACCATGGGCCTCAAACCGTCCGAAACGTCCACTTTTATATACTACAAAAAGAGCGTTTCAAACCTGCTCTATGAAAGGCAATGTTCAACTCTGTGACTTGAATGCAGACATCACAGAGCAGTTTCTGAGAATGCTTCTGTCTAGATTTTATAGGAATATATTCCCGTTTCCAACGAAATCTTCACAGCTATCCAAATATCCACTTGCAGATTCTACAAAAAGAGTGTATCAAAACTGCTCTGTCAAAAGGAAGGTTCTTCTCTGTTAGGTGAGTGCATACGTCATAAAGGAGTTTCTGAGAATGTTTCTGTCTAGTGGTTATGGGAAGATATTTGCTTTTTCACCGTAGGCCTCAGAGCGCTCCAAATATCCACTTGCACATACTACAAAAAGAGTGCTTCAAAGCTGGTCTCTGAAACGGAATGTTCAACTCTATGAGTTGAATGCAAACATCGCAAAGACGTTTCTGAGAATGCTTCTGTCTAGATTTGATATGAAGATATTCCCGTTTCCAACGAAATCTTCATATCTATCCAAATGTCCACTTGCAGATTCAACAAAAAGTGTTTTTCAGAACTGCTCTATCAAAAGAAAGATCCACCTCTGTTAGCTGAGTTCACACATCACAAAGAAGTTTATGAGAATGCTTCTGTCTAGTTTTTATTTGAAGATATTTCCTTTCTCAACATAGACCTGAAAGCTGTCCTAATGTTCACTTCCAGATGCTACAGAAAGAGTGTTTCAAAACTGCTGTACGAAAGGGAATGTTCAACTCTGTGACTTGAATGCACACATCACAAAGAAGTTTCTGAGGATGCTGCTGTCTACTTTTTATACGTAATCCCGTTTCCAACGAAATCCTCCAAGCTATCGAAATATCCACTTGCAGATTCCACAGAAAGACTGTTTCAAAACTGCTCTGTCAATAGAAAGGTTCAACTCTGTTAGCTGCGTGCATATATCCCAAAGAAGATTCTGAGATTGCTTCTGTCTAGTTTTTATGGGAAGATATTTCCCTTTTCACCGTAGGCGTCAAGGTGCTCCAAATGTCCACTTCCAGATACTACAAAAAGAGTGTTTCAAACCTACTCTGTGAAAGGGAATATTCAACTCTGTGACTTGAATGCACATATCACAAGGAAGTTTCTGAGAATGCTTCTGTCGAGATTTTATATGAAGATATTCCCGTTTCCAACGAAATCCTGAAATGTATCCAAATATCCCCTCGCAGATTCTACAAAAAGAGTGTTTCAAAACTGCTCTGTAAAAAGAAAGGTTCAACTCTGTTAGTTGAGTAGACACATCACAAACAAGTTTCACAGAATGCTTCTTTCTAGCTTGTAGGGGAAGATATTCCCTTTATCACCATGGGCCTCCAACCGTCCGAAACATCCACTTCCATATACTACAAAAAGAGCGTTTCAAACCTGCTCTATGAAAGGCAATGTTCAACTCTGTGACTTGAATGCAGACATCACAGAGCGGTTTCTGAGAATGCTTCTGTCTAGATTTTATAGGAAGATATTCCCGTTTCCAACGAAATCTTCACAGCTATCCAAATATCCACTTGCAGATTCTACAAAAAGAGTGTATCAAAAGTGCTCTGTCAAAAGGAAGGTTCTTCTCTGTTAGGTGAGCGCATACATCATAAAGGAGTTTCTGAGAATGTTTCTGTCTAGTGGTTATGGGATGATATTTGCTTTTTCACCGTAGGCCTCAGAGCGCTCCAAATATCCACTTGCACATACTACAAAAAGAGTGCCTCAAAGCTGCTCTCTGAAACGGAATGTTCAACTCTATGAGTTGAATGCAAACATCGCAAAGACGTTTCTGAGAATGCTTCTGTCTAGATTTGATATGAAGATATTCCCGTTTCCAACGAAATCTTCAAATCTATCCAAATGTCCACTTGCAGATTCAACAAAAAGTGTTTTTCAGAACTGCTCTATCAAAAGAAAGATCCACGTGTGTTAGCTGAGTTCACACATTACAAACAAGTTTATGAGAATGCTTCTGTCTAGTTTTTATTTGAAGATATTTCCTTTCTCACCATAGACCTGAAAGCTGTCCTAATGTTCACTTCCAGGTACTACAGAAAGAGTGTTTCAAAACTGCTGTACGAAAGGGAATGTTCAACTCTGTGACTTGAATGCACACATCACAAAGAAGTTTCTGAGGATGCTGCTGTCTACTTTTTATACGTAATCCCGTTTCCAACGAAATCCTCCAAGCTATCCAAATATCCACTTGCAGATTCCACAGAAAGACTGTTTCAAAACTGCTCTGTCAATAGAAAGGTTCAACTCTGTTAGCTGCATGCATATATCCCAAAGAAGATTCTGAGATTGCTTCTGTCTAGTTTTGATGGGAAGATATTTCCCTTTTCACCGTAGGTGTCAAGGCGCTCCAAATGTCCACTTCCAGATACTACCAAAAGAGTGTTTCAAACCTACTCTGTGAAAGGGAATATTCAACTCTGTGACTTGAATGCACATATCACAAAGAAGTTTCTGAGAATGCTTCTGTCGAGATTTTGTATGAAGATATTCCCGTTTCCAACGAAATCCTGAAATCTATCCAAATATCCCCTCGGAGAGTCTACAAAAAGAGTGTTTCAAAACTGCTCTGTGAAAAGAAAGGTTCAACTCTCTTAGTTGAGTACACACATCACAAACAAGTTTCACAGAATGCTTCTTTCTATCTTGTAGGGGAAGATATTCCCTTTATCACCATGGGCCTCCAACCGTCCGAAACATCCACTTCCATATACTACAAAAAGAGCGTTTCAAACCTGCTCTATGAAAGGCAATGTTCAACTCTGTGACTTGAATGCAGACATCACAGAGCAGTTTCTGAGAATGCTTCTGTCTAGATTTTATAGGAAGATATTCCCGTTTCCAACGAAATCTTCACAGCTATCCACATATCCACTTGCAGATTCTACAAAAAGAGTGTATCAAAACTGCTCTGTCAAAAGGAAGGTTCTTCTCTGTTAGGTGAGTGCATACGTCATAAAGGAGTTTCTGAGAATGTTTCTGTCTAGTGGTTATGGGAAGATATTTGCTTTTTCACCGTAGGCCTCAGAGCGATCCAAATATCCACTTGCACATACTACAAAAAGAGTGCTTCAAAGCTGCTCTCTGAAACGGAATGTTCAACTCTATGAGTTGAATGCAAACATCACAAAGACGTTTCTGAGAATGCTTCTGTCTAGATTTGATATGAAGATATTCCCGTTTCCAACGAAATCTTCAAATCTATCCAAATGTCCATTTGCAGATTCAACAAAAAGTGTTTTTCAAAACTGTTATATCAAAAGAAAGATCCACATCTGTTAGCTGAGTTCACACATCACAAACAAGTTTAAGAGAATGCTTCTGTCTAGTTTTTATTTGAAGATATTTCCTTTCTCACCATAGACCTGAAAGCTGTCCTAGTGTTCACTTCCAGATACTACAGAAAGAGTGTTTCAAAACTGCTGTACGAAAGGGAATATTCAACTCTGTGACTTGAATGCACACATCACAAAGAAGTTTCTGAGGATGCTGCTGTCTACTTTTTATGCGTAATCCCGTTTCCAACGAAATCCTCCAAGCTATCCAAATATCCACTTGCAGATTCCACAGAAAGACTGTTTCAAAACTGCTCTGTCAATAGAAAGGTTCAACTCTGTTAGCTGCGGTGCATATATCCCAAAGAAGATTCTGAGATTGCTTCTGTCTAGTTTTTATGGGAAGATATTTCCCTTTTCACCTTAGGCGTCAAGGCGCTCCAAATGTCCACTTCCAGATACTACAAAAAGAGTGTTTCAAACCTACTCTGTGAAAGGGAATATTCAAACCTGTGACTTGAATGCACATATCACAAAGAAGTTTCTGAGAATGCTTCTGTTGAGATTTTATATGAAGATATTCCCGTTTCCAATGAAATCCTGAAATCTATCCAAATATCCCCTCGCAGATTCTACAAAAAGAGTGTTTCAAAACTGCTCTGTAAAAACAAAGGTTCAACTCTGTTAGTTGAGTACACACATCACAAACAACTTTCACAGAATGCTTCTTTCTAGCTTGTAGGGGAAGATATTCCCTGTATCACCATGGGCCTCAAACCGTCCGAAGCGTCCACTTCCATATACTAAAAAAAGAGTGTTTGAAACCTGCTCTATGAAAGGCAATGTTCAACTCTGTGACTTGAATGCAGACATCACAGAGCAGTTTCTGAGAATGCTTCTGTCTAGATTTTATAGGAAGATATTCCCGTTTCCAGCGAAATCTTCACAGCTATCCAAATATCCACTTGCAGATTCTACAAAAAGAGTGTATCAAAACTGCTCTGTCAAAAGGAAGGTTCTTCTCTGTTAGTTGAGTACATACGTCATAAAGGAGTTTCTGAGAATGTTTCTGTCTAGTGGTTACGGTAAGATATTTGCTTTTTCACCTTAGGCCTCAGAGCGCTCCAAATATCCACTTGCACATACTACAAAAAGAGTGCTTCAAAGCTGCTCTCTGAAACGGAATGTTCAACTCTATGAGTTGAATGCAAACATGACAAAGACGTTTCTGAGAATGCTTCTGTCTAGATTTGATATGAAGATATTCCCGTTTCCAACGAAATCTTCATATCTATCCAAATGTCCACTTGCAGATTCAACAAAAAGTGTTTTTCAAAACTGCTGTATCAAAAGAAAGATCCACGTCTGTTAGCTGAGTTCACACATCACAAACAAGATTATGAGAATGCTTCTGTCTAGTTTTTATTTGAAGATATTTCCTTTCTCACCATAGACCTGAAAGCTGTCCTAATGTTCACTTCCAGTTACTACAGAAAGAGTGTTTCAAAACTGCTGTACGAAAGGGAATGTTCAACCCTGTGACTTGAATGCACACATCACAAAGAAGTTTCTGAGGATGCTGCTGTCTACTTTTTATACGTAATCCCGTTTCCAACGAAATGCTCCAAGCTATCCAAATATCCACTTGGAGATTCCACAGAAAGACTGTTTCAAAACTGCTCTGTCAATAGAAAGGTTCAACTCTGTTAACTGCGTGCATATATCCCAAAGAAGATTCTGAGATTGCTTCTGTCTAGTTTTTATGAGAAGATATTTCCCTTTTCACCGTAGGCGTCAAGGCGATCCAAATGTCCACTTCCAGATACTACAAAAGGAGTGTTTCAAACCTACTCTGTGAAAGGGAATATTCAACTCTGTGACTTGAATGCAGATATCACAAAGAAGTTTCTGAGAATGCTTCTGTCGAGATTTTATATGAAGATATTCCCGTTTCCAACGAAATGCTGAAATGTATCCAAATATCCCCTCGTAGATTCTACAAAAAGAGTGTTTCAAAACTGCTCTGTAAAAACAAAGGTTCAACTCTGTTAGTTGAGTACACACATCACAAACAAGTTTCACAGAATGCTTCTTTCTAGCTTGTAGGGGAAGATATTCCCTTTATCACCATGGGCCTCAAACCGTCCGAAACGTCCACTTCCATATACTACAAAAAGAGCGTTTCAAACCTGTTCTAGGAAAGACAATGTTCAACTCTGTGACTTGAATGCAGACATCACAGAGCAGTTTCTGAGAATGCTTCTGTATAGATTTTATAGGAAGATATTCCCGTTTCCAACGAAATCTTCACAGCTATCCAAATATCCACTTGCAGATTCTACAAAAAGAGTGTATCAAAACTGCTCTGTCAAAAGGAAGGTTTCTTCTCTGTTAGGTGAGTGCATACGTCATAAAGGAGTTTCTGAGAATGTTTCTGTCTAGTGGTTATGGGAAGATATTTGCCTTTTCACCTTAGGCCTCAGAGCACTCCAAATATCCCCTTGCACATACTACAAAAAGAGTGCTTCAAAGCTGCTCTCTGAAACGGAATGTTCAACTCTATGAGTTGAATGCAAACATCACAAAGACGTTTTTGGGAATGATTCTGTCTAGTATTTGATATGAAGATATTCCCGTTTCCAACGAAATCTTCAAATCTATCCAAATGTCCACTTGCAGATTCAACAAAAAGTGTTTTTCAAAACTGCTGTATCAAAAGAAAGATCCACGTCTGTTAGCTGAGTTCACACATCACAAACAAGTTTATGAGAATGCTTCTGTCTAGTTTTTATTTGAAGATATTTCCTTTCTCACCATAGACCTGAAAGCTGTCCTAATGTTCACTTCCAGATACTACAGAAAGAGCGTTTCAAAACTGCTGTAAGAAAGGGAATGTTCAACTCTGTGACTTGAATGCACACATCACAAAGAAGTTTCTGAGGATGCTGCTGTCTACTTTTTATACGTAATCCCGTTTCCAACGAAATCCTCCCAAGCTATCCAAATATCCACTTGCAGATTCCACAGAAAGACTGTTTCAAAACTGCTCTGTCAATAGAAAGGTTCAACTCTGTTAGCTGCGTGCATATATCCCAAAGAAGATTCTGAGATTGCTTCTGTCTACTTTTTATGAGAAGATATTTCCCTTTTCACCGTAGGCATCAAGGCGCTCCAAAAGTCCACTTCCAGATACTACAAAAAGTGTGTTTCAAACCTACTCTGTGAAAGGGAATATTCAACTCTGTGACTTGAATGCACATATCACAACGAAGCTTCTGAGAATGCTTCTGTCGAGATTTTCTATGAAGATATTCCCGTTTCCAACGAAATCCTGAATTCTATCCAAATATCCCCTCGCAGATTCTACAAAAAGAGTGTTTCAAAACTGCTCTGTAAAAAGAAAGGTTCAACTCTGTTACTTCAGTACACACATCACAAACAAGTTTCACAGAATGCTTCTTTCTAGCTTGTAGGGGAAGATATTCCCTTTATCACCATGGGCCTCAAACCGTCCGAAACGTCCACTTCCATATACTACAAAAAGAGCGTTTCAAACCTGCTAAATGAAAGGCAATGTTCAACTCTGTGACTTGAATGCAGACATCACAGAGCAGTTTCTGAGAATGCTTCTGTCTAGATTTTATAGGAAGATATTCCCGTTTCCAACGAAATCTTCACAGCTATCCAAATATCCACTTTCAGATTCTACAAAAAGAGTGTATCAAAAGTGCTCTGTCAAAAGGAAGCTTCTTCTCTGTTAGGTGAGTGCATACGTCATAAAGGAGTTTCTGAGAATGTTTCTGTCTAGTGGTTATGGGAAGATATTTGCTTTTTCACCGTAGGCCTCAGAGCGCTCCAAATATCCCCTTGCACATACTACAAAAAGAGTGCTTCAAAGCTGCTCTCTGAAAGGGAATGTTCAAATCTGTGAGTTGAATGCAAACATCACAAAGACGTTTCTGAGAATGCTTCTGTCTAGATTTGATAAGAAGATATTCCCGTTTCCAACGAAATCTTCAAATCTATCCAAATGTCCACTTGCAGATTCAACAAAGTGTTTTTCAAAACTGCTGTATCAAAAGAAAGATCCACCTGTGTTAGCTGAGTTCACACTTCACAAACAAGTTTATCAGAATTCTTCTGTCTAGTTTTTATTTGAAGATATATCCTTTCTCACTATAGACCTGAAAGCCCTCCTAATGTTCACTTCCAGATACTACAGAAAGAGTGTTTCAAAACTGCTGTACGAAAGGGAATGTTCATCTCTGTGACTTGAATGCACACATCACAAGGAAGTTTCTGAGGATGCTGCTGTCTACTTTTTATACGTAATCCCGTTTCCAACGAAATCCTCCAATCTATCCAAATATCCACTTGCAGATTCCACAGAAAGACTGTTTCTAAACTGCTCTGTCAGTAGAAAGGTTCAACTCTGTTAGCTGCGTGCATATATCCCAAAGAAGATTCTGAGATTGCTTCTGTCTAGTTTTTATGGGAAGATATTTCCCTTTTCACCGTAGGTGTCAAGGCGCTCCAAATGTCCACTTCCAGATACTACAAAAAGAGTGTTTCAAACCTACTCTGTGAAAGGGAATATTCAACTCTGTGACTTGAATGCAGATATCACAATGAAGTTTCTGAGAATGCTTCTGTCGAGATTTTATATGAAGATATTCCCGTTTCCAACGAAATCCTGAAATCTATCCAAATATCCCCTCGCAGATTCTACAAAAATAGTGTTTCAAAACTGCTCTGTAAAAAGAAAGGTTCAACTCTATTAGTTGAGTACACACATCACAAACAAGTTTCACAGAATGCTTCTTTCTAGCTTGTAGGGGAAGATATTCCCTTTATCACCATGGGCCTCAAACCGTCCGAAACGTCCACTTCCATATACTACAAAAAGAGGGTTTCAAACCTGCTCTATGAAAGGCAATGTTCAACTCTGTGACTTGAATGCAGACATCACAGAGCAGTTTCTGAGAATGCTTCTGTCTAGATTTTATAGGAAGATATTCCCGTTTCCAACGAAATCTTCACAGCTATCCAAATATCCACTTGCAGATTCTACAAAAAGAGTGTATCAAAACTGCTCTGTCAAAAGGAAGGTTCTTCTCTGTTAGGTGAGTGCATACGTCATAAAGGAGTTTCTGAGCATGTTTCTGTCTAGTGGTTATGGGAAGATATTTGCTTTTTCACCGTAGGCCTCAGAGCGCTCCAAATATCCACTTGCACATACTACAAAAAGAGTGCTTCAAAGCTGGTCTCTGAAACGGAATGTTCAACTCTATGAGTTGAATGCAAACATCACAAAGACGTTTCTGAGAATGCTTTCTGTCTAGATTTGATATGAAGATATTCCCGTTTCCAACGAAATCTTCAAATCTATCCAAATGTCCACTTGCAGATTCAACAAAAAGTGTTTTTCAGAACTGTTCTATCAAAAGAAAGATCCACCTCTGTTAGCTGAGTTCACACATCACAAACAAGTTTATGAGAATGCTTCTGTCTAGTTTTTATTTGAAGATATTTCCTTTCTCACCATAGACCTGAAAGCTGTCCTAATGTTCACTTCCAGATACTACAGAAAGAGTGTTTCAAAACTGCTGTACGAAAGGGAATGCTCAACTCTGTGACTTGAATGCACACATCACAAAGAAGTTTCTGAGGATGCTGCTGGCTACTTTTTATACGTAATCCCGTTTCCAACGAAATCCTCCAAGCTATCGAAATATCCACTTGCAGATTCCACAGAAAGACTGTTTCAAAACTGCTCTGTCAATAGAAAGGTTCAACTCTGTTAGCTGCGTGCATATATCCCAAAGAAGATTCTGAGATTGCTTCTGTCTAGTTTTTATGGGAAGATATTTCCCTTTTCACCGTAGGTGTCAATGTGCTCCAAATGTCCACTTCCAGACACTACAAAAAGAGTGTTTCAAACCTACTCTGTGAAAGGGAATATTCAACTCTGTGACTTGAATGCAGATATCACAAAGAAGTTTCTGAGAATGCTTCTGTCGAGATTTTATATGAAGATATTCCCGTTTCCAACGAAATCCTGAAATCTATCCAAATATCCCCTCGCAGATTCTACAAAAAGAGTGTTTCAAAAGTGCTCTGTAAAAAGAAAGGTTCAACTCTGTTAGTTGAGAACACACATCACAAACATGTTTCACAGAATGCTTCTTTCTAGCTTGTAGGGGAAGATATTCCCTTTATCACCATGGGCCTCAAACCGTCCGAAACGTCCTCTTCCATATAGTACAAAAAGAGCGTTTCAAACCTGCTCTATGAAAGGCAATGTTCAACTCTGTGACTTGAATGCAGACATCACAGAGCAGTTTCTGAGAATGCTTCTGTCTAGATGTTATAGGAAGATATTCCCGTTTCCAACGAAATCTTCACAGGTATCCAAATATCCACTTGCAGATTCTACAAAAAGAGTGTATCAAAACTGCTCTGTCAAAAGGAAGGTTCTTCTCTGTTAGGTGAGTGCATACGTCATAAAGGAATTTCTGAGAATGTTTCTGTCTAGTGGTTATGGGAATATATTTGCTTTTTCACCGTAGGCCTCAGAGCGCTCCAAATATCCACTTCCACATACTACAAAAAGAGTGCCTCAAAGCTGCTCTCTGAAACGGAATGTTCAACTCTATGAGTTGAATGCAAACGTCACAAAGACGTTTCTGAGAATGCTTCTGTCTAGATTTGAAATGAAGTTATTCCCGTTTCCAACGAAATCTTCAAATCTATCCAAATGTCCACTTGCAGATTCAACAAAAAGTGTTTTTCAGAACTGCTCTATCAAAAGAAAGATCCACCTCGGTTAGCTGAGTTCACACATCACAAAGAAGTTTATGAGAATGCTTTCTGTCTAGTTTTTATTTGAAGATATTTCCTTTCTCACTATAGACCTGAAAGCTCTCCTAAAGTTCACTTCCAGATACTACAGAAAGAGTGTTTCAAAACTGCTGTACGAAAGGGAATGTTCAACTCTGTGACTTGAATGCACACATCACAAAGAAGTTTCTGAGGATGCTGCTGTCTACTTTTTATACGTAATCCCTTTTCCAACGAAATCCTCCAAGCTATCCAAATATCCACTTGCAGATTCCACAGAAATACTGTTTCAAAACTGCTCTGTCAATAGAAAGGTTCAACTCTGTTAGCTGCGTGCATATATCCCAAAGAAGATTCTGAGATTGCTTCTGTCTAGTTTTTATGGGAAGATATTTCCCTTTTCACCGTAGGTGTCAAGGCGCTCCAAATGTCCACTTCCAGATACTACAAAAAGAGTGTTTCAAACCTACTCTCTGAAAGGGAATATTCAACTCTGTGCCTTGAATGCAGATATCACAATGAAGTTTCTGAGAATGCTTCTGTCGAGATTTTATATGAAGATATTCCCGTTTCCAACGAAATCCTGAAATCTATCCAAATATCCCCTCGCAGATTCTACAAAAAGCGTGTTTCAAAACTGCTCTGTAAAAAGAAAGGTTCAACTCTGTTAGTTGAGTACACACATCACAAACAAGTTTCACAGAATGCTTCTTTCTAGCTGGTAGGGGAAGATATTCCCTTTATCACCATTGGCCTCAAACCGTCCGAAACGTCCACTTCCATATACTACAAAAAGAGCGTTTCAAACCTGCTCTATGAAAGGCAATGTTCAACTCTGTGACTTGAATGCAGACATCACAGAGCAGTTTCTGAGAATCCTTCTGTCTAGATTTTATAGGAAGATATTCCCGTTTCCAACGAAATCTTCACAGCTATCCAAATATCCACTTGCAGATTCTACAAAAAGAGTGTATCAAAACTGCTCTGTCAAAAGGAAGGTTCTTCTCTGTTAGGTGAGTGCATACGTCATAAAGGAGTTCTGAGAATGTTTCTGTCTAGTGGTTATGGGAAGATATTTGCTTTTTCACCGTAGGCCTCAGAGCGCTCCAAATATCCACTTGCACATACTACAAAAAGTGTGCCTCAAAGCTGCTCTCTGAAACGGAATGTTCAACTCTATGAGTTGAATGCAAACATCACAAAGACGTTTCTGAAAATGCTTCTGTCTAGATTTGATATGAAGATATTCCCGTGTCCAACGAAATCTTCAAGTCTATCCAAATGTCCACTTGCAGATTCAACAAAAAGTGTTTTTCAGAACTGCTCTATCAAAAGAAAGATCCACCTCTGTTAGCTGAGTTCACACATCACAAACAACTTTATGAGAATGCTTCTGTCTAGTTTTTATTTGAAGATATATCCTTTCTCACTATATACCTGAAAGCTCTCCTAAAGTTCACTTCCAGATACTACAGAAAGAGTGTTTCAAAACTGCTGTATGAAAGGGAATATTCAACTCTGTGACTTGAATGCACACATCACAAAGAAGTTTCTGAGGATGCTGCTGTCTAATTTTTATACGTAATCCCGTTTCCAACGAAATCCTCCAAACTATCCAAATATCCACTTGCAGATTCCACAGAAAGACTGTTTCAAAACTGCTCTGTCAATAGAAAGGTTCAACTCTGTTAGCTGCGTGCATATATCCCAAAGAAGATTCTGAGATTGCTTCTGTCTAGTTTTTATGGGAAGATATTTCCCTTTTCACCGTAGGCGTCAAGGCGCTCCAAATGTCCACTTCCAGATACTACAAAAAGAGTGTTTCAAACCTACTCTGTGAAAGGGAATATTGAACTCTGTGACTTCAATGCACATATCACAAAGAAGCTTCTGAGAATGCTTCTGTCGAGATTTTGTATGAAGATATTCCCGTTTCCAACGAAATCCTGAAATGTATCCAAATTTCCCCTCGCAGATTCTACAAAAAGAGTGTTTCAAAACTGCTCTGTAAAAAGAAAGGTTCAACTCTGTTAGTTGAGTACACACATCACAAACAAGTTTCACAGAATGCTTCTTTCTAGCTTGTAGGGGAAGATATTTCCTTTATCACCATGGGCCTCAAACCGTCCGAAACGTCCACTTCCATATACTACAAAAAGAGCGTTTCAAACCTGCTCTATGAAAGGCAATGTTCAACTCTGTGACTTGAATGCAGACATCACAGAGCAGTTTCTGAGAATGCTTCTGTCTAGATTTTATAGGAAGACATTCCCGTTTCCAACGAAATCTTCACAGCTATCCAAATATCCACTTGCAGATTCTACAAAAAGAGTGTATCAAAACTGCTCTGTCAAAAGGAAGGTTCTTTTCTGTTAGGTGAGTGCATACGTCATAAAGGAGTTTCTGAGAATGTTTCTGTCTAGTGGTTATGGGAAGATATTTGCTTTTTCACCTTAGTCCTCAGAGCGCTCCAAATATCCACTTGCACATACTACAAAAAGAGTGCCTCAAAGCTGCTCTTTGAAACGGAATGTTCAACTCTATGAGTTGAATGCAAACATCACAAAGACGTTTCTGAGAATGCTTCTGTCTAGATTTGATATGAAGATATTCCCGTTTCCAAAGAAATCTTCAAATCCATCCAAATGTCCACTTGCAGATTCAACAAAAAGTGTTTTTCAGAACTGCTCTATCAAAAGAAAGATCCACCTCTTTTAGCTGAGTTCACACATCACAAACATGTTTATGAGAATGCTTCTGTCTAGTTTTTATTTGAAGATATTTCCTTTCTCACCATAGAGCTGAAAGGTGTCCTAATGTTCACTTCCAGATACTACAGAAAGAGTGTTTCAAAACTGCTGTACGAAAGGGAATGTTCAACTCTGTGACTTGAATGCACACATCACAAAGAAGTTTCTGAGGATGCTGCTGTCTACTTTTTATACGTAATCCCGTTTCCAACGAAATCCTCCAAGCTATCCAAATATCCACTTGCAGATTCCACAGAAAGACCGTTTCAAAACTGCTATGTCAATAGAAAAGTTCAACTCTGTTAGCTGTGTGCATATATCCCAAAGAAAATTCTGAGATTGCTTCTGTCTAGTTTTAATGGGAAGATATTTCCCTTTTCACCGTAGGTGTCAATGTGCTCCAAATTTCCACTTCCAGACACTACAAAAAGAGTGTTTCAAACCTACTCTGTGAAAGGGAATATTCAACTCTGTGACTTGAATGCAGATATCACAAAGAAGTTTCTGAGAATGCTTCTGTCGAGATTTTATATGAAGATATTCCCGTTTCCAACGAAATCCTGAAATGTATCCAAATATCCCCTCGCAGATTCTACAAAAAGAGTGTTTCAAAACTGCTCTGTAAAAGAAAGGTTCAACTCTGTTAGTTGAGTACAAACATCACAAACAAGTTTCACAGAATGCTTCTCTCTAGCTTGTAGGGGAATATATTCCCTTTATCACCATGGGTCTCAAACCGTCCGAAACGTCCACTTCCATATACTACAAAAAGAGCGTTTCAAACCTGCTCTAGGAAAGGCAGTGTTCAACTCTGTGACTTGAATGCAGACATCACAGAGCTGTTTCTGAGAATGCTTCTGTCTGGATTTTATAGGAAGATATTCCCGTTTCCAACGAAATCTTCACAGCTATCCAAATATCCACTTGCAGATTCTACAAAAAGAGTGTATCAAAACTCCTCTGTCAAAAGGAAGGTTCTTCTCTGTTAGTTGAGTACATACGTCATAAAGGAGTTTCTGAGAATGTTTCTGTCTAGTGGTTATGGGAAGATATTTGCTTTTTCACCTTAGGCCTCAGAGCGCTCCAAATATCCACTTGCACATACTACAAAAAGAGTGCTTCAAAGCTGCTCTCTGAAAGGGAATGTTCAACTCTATGAGTTGAATGCAAACATCCCAAAGACGTTTCTGAGAATGCTTCTGTCTAGATTTGATATGAAGATATTCCCGTTTCCAACGAAATCTTCAAATCTATCCAAATGTCCACTTGCAGATTCAACAAAAAGTGTTTTTCCGAACTGCTCTATCAAAAGAAAGATCCGCCTCTGTTAGCTGAGTTCACACATCACAAACAAGTTTATGAGAATGCTTCTGTCTAGTTTTTATTTGAAGATATTTCCTTTCTCACCATAGACCTGAAAGCTGTCCTAATGTTCACTTCCAGATACTACATAAAGAGTGTTTCAACACTGCTGTACGAAAGGGAATGTTCAACTCTGTGACTTGAATGCACACATCACAAAGAAGATTCTGAGGATGCTGCTGTCTACTTTTTATACTTAATCCCGTTTCCAACGAAATCCTCCAAGCTATCCAAATATCCACTAGCAGATTCCACAGAAAGACTGTTTCAAAACTGCTCTGTCAATAGAAAGGTTCAACTCTGTTAGCTGCGTGCATATATCCCGAAGAAGATTCTGAGATTGCTTCTGTCTAGTTTTTATGGGAAGATATTTCCCTTTTCACCGTAGGCGTCCAGGCGCTCCAAATGTCCACTTCCAGATACTACAAAAAGAGTGTTTCAAACCTACTCTGTGAAAGGGAATATTCAACTCTGTGACTTGAATGCACATATCACAAGGAAGTTTCTGAGAATGCTTCTGTCGAGATTTTATATGAAGATATTCCCGTTTCCAACGAAATGCTGAAATCTATCCAAATATCCCCTCGCAGATTCTACGAAAAGAGTGTTTCAAAACTGCTCTGTGAAAAGAAAGGTTCAACTCTGTTAGTTGAGTACACACATCACAAACAAGTTTCACAGAATGCTTCTTTCTAGCTTGTAGGGGAAGATATTCCCTTTATCACCATGGGCCTCAAACCGTCCGAAACGTCCACTTCCATATACTACAAAAAGAGCGTTTCAAACCTGCTCTATGAAAGGCAATGTTCAACTCTGTGACTTGAATGCAGACATCACAGAGCATTTTCTGAGAATGCTTCTGTCTAGATTTTATAGGAAGATATTCCCGTTTCCAACGAAATCTTCACAGCTATCCAAATATCCACTTGCAGATTCTACAAAAAGAGTGTATCAAAACTGCTCTGTCAAAAGGAAGGTTCTTCTCTGTTAGGTGAGAGCATACGTCATAAAGGAGTTTCTGAGAATGTTTCTGTCTAGTGGTTATGGGAAGATATTTGCTTTTTCCCCGTAGGCCTCAGAGCGCTCCAAATATCCACTTGCACATACTACAAAAAGAGTGCTTCAAAGCTGCTCTCTGAAAGGGAATGTTCAACTCTATGAGTTGAATGCAAACATCACAAAGACGTTTCTGAGAATGCTTCTGTCTAGATTTGATATGAAGATATTCCCGTTTCCAACGAAATCTTCAAATCTATCCAAATGTCCACTTGCAGATTCAACAAAAAGTGTTTTTCAAAACTGCTGTATCAAAAGAAAGATCCACCTCTGTTAGCTGAGTTCACACATCACAAACAAGTTTATGAGAATCCTTCTGTCTAGTTTTTATTTGAAGATATTTCCTTTCTCACCATAGACCTGAAAGCTGTCCTATTGTTCACTTCCAGATACTACAGAAAGAGTGTTTCAAAACTGCTGTATGAAAGGGAATGTTCAACTCTGTGACTTGAATGCACACATCACAAAGAAGTTTCTGAGGATGCTGCTGTCTACTTTTTATACGTAATCCCGTTTCCAACGAAATCCTCCAAGCTATCCAAATATCCACTTGCAGATTCCACAGAAAGACTGTTTCAAAACTGCTCTGTCAATAGAAAAGTTCAACTCTGTTAGCTGCGTGCATATATCCCAAGGAAGATTCTGAGATTGCTTCTCTCTAGTTTTTATGGGAAGATATTTCCCTTTTCACCGTAGGTGTCAAGGCGCTCCAAATGTCCACTTCCAGATACTACAAAAAGAGTGTTTCAAACCTACTCTGTGAAAGGGAATATTCAACTGTGTGACTTGAATGCACATATCACAAAGAAGTTTCTGAGAATGCTTCTGTCGAGATTTTATATGAAGATATACCCGTTTCCAACGAAATCCTGAAATCTATCCAAATATCCCCTCGCAGATTCTACAAAAAGAGTGTTTCAAAGCTGCTCTGTGAAAAGAAAGGTTCAACTCTGTTAGTTGAGTACACACATCACAAACAAGTTTCACAGAATGCTTCTTTCTAGCTTGTAGGGGAAGATATTCCCTTTATCACCATGGTCCTCAAACCGTCCGAAACGTCCACTTCCATATACTACAAAAAGAGCGTTTCAAACCTGCTCTAGGAAAGGCAATGTTCAACTCTGTGACTTGAATGCAGACATAAGAGAGCAGTTTCTGAGAATGCTTCTGTCTAGATTTTATAGGAAGATATTCCCGTTTCCAACGAAATCTTCACAGCTATCCAAATATCCACTTGCAGATTCTACAAAAAGAGTGTATAAAAACTGCTCTGTCAAAAGGAAGGTTCTTTTCTGTTAGGTGAGTGCATACGTCATAAAGGAGTTTCTGAGAATGTTTCTGTCTAGTGGTTATGGGAAGATATTTGCTTTTTCACCTTAGGCCTCAGAGCGCTCCAAATATCCCCTTGCACATACTACAAAAAGAGTGCTTCAAAGCTGCTCTCTGAAAGGGAATGTTCAACTCTATGAGTTGAATGCAAACGTCACAAAGACGTTTCTGAGAATGCTTCTGTCTAGATTTGATATGAAGATATTCCCGTTTCCAACGAAATCTTCAAATCTA
Source organism: Homo sapiens (assembly GCF_000001405.40). Taxonomy (NCBI): domain Eukaryota; kingdom Metazoa; phylum Chordata; class Mammalia; order Primates; family Hominidae; genus Homo; species Homo sapiens. Next base: position 12,115,779 of record NC_000021.9, on the reverse strand, counting down.
TCCAAATGTCCACTTGCAGATTCAACAAAACGTGTTTTTCAGAACTGCTCTATCAAAAGAAAGATCCACGTCTCTTAGCTGAGTTCACACATCACAAACAAGTTTATGAGAATGCTTCTGTCTAGTTTTTATTTGAAGATATTTCCTTTCTCACCATAGACCTGAAAGCTGTCCTAATGTTCAATTCCAGATACTACAGAAAGAGTGTTTCAAAACTACTGTACGAAAGGGAATGTTCAACTCTGTGACTTGAATGCACACATCACAAAGAAGTTTCTGAGGATGCTGCTGTCTACTTTTTATGCGTAATCCCGTTTCCAACGAAATCCTCCAAGCTATCCAAATATCCACTTTCAGATTCCACAGAAAGACTGTTTCAAAACTGCTCTGTCAATAGAAAGGTTCAACTCTGTTAGCTGCGTGCATATATCCCAAAGAAGATTCTGAGATTGCTTCTGTCTACTTTTTATGAGAAGATATTTCCCTTTTCACTGTAGGCGTCAAGGCGCTCCAAATGTCCACTTCCAGATACTACAAAAAGAGTGTTTCAAACCTACTCTGTGAAAGGGAATATTCAACTCTGTGACTTGAATGCACATATCACAAAGAAGTTTCTGAGAATGCTTCTGTCGAGTATTTTGTATGAAGATATTCCCGTTTCCAACGAAATCCTGAAATCTATCCAAATTTCCCCTCGCAGATTCTACAAAAAGAGTGTTTCAAAACTGCTCTGTGAAAAGAAAGGTTCAACTCTGTTAGTTGAGTACACACATCACAAACAAGTTTCACAGAATGCTTCTTTCTAGCTTGTAGGGGAAGATATTCCCTTTATCACCATGGGCCTCAAACCGTCCGATAAGTCCACTTCCATATACTACAATAAGAGCGTTTCAAACCTGCTCTATGAAAGGCAATGTTCAACTCTGTGACTTGAATGCAGACATCACAGAGCAGTTTCTGAGAATGCTTCTGTCTAGATTTTATAGGAAGATATTCCCGTTTCCAACGAAATCTTCACAGCTATCCAAATATCCACTTGCAGATTCTACAAAAAGAGTGTATCAAAACTGCTCTGTCAAAAGGAAGGTTCTTCTCTGTTAGGTGAGTGCATACGTCATAAAGCAGTTTCTGAGAATGTTTCTGTCTAGTGGTTATGGGAAGATATTTGCTTTTTCACCTTAGGCCTCAGAGCGCTCCAAATATCCCCTTGCACATACTACAAAAAGAGTGCTTCAAAGCTGCTCTCTGAAAGGGAATGTTCAACTCTATGAGTTGAATGCAAACATCACAAAGACATTTCTGAGAATGCTTCTGTCTAGATTTGATATGAAGCATATTCCCGTTTCCAACGAAATCTTCAAATCTATCCAAATGTCCACTTGCAGATTCAACAAAAAGTGTTTTTCAGAACTGCTCTATCAAAAGAAAGATCCACCTCTGTTAGATGAGTTCACACATCACAAACAAGTTTATGAGAATGCTTCTGTCTAGTTTTTATTTGAAGATATTTCCTTTCTCACCATAGAGCTGAAATCTGTCCTAATGTTCACTTCCAGATACTACAGAAAGAGTGTTTCAAAACTGCTGTACGAAAGGGAATGTTCAACTCTGTGACTTGAATGCACACATCACAAAGAAGTTTCTGAGGATGCTGCTGTCTACTTTTTATACGTAATCCCGTTTCCAACGAAATCCTCCAATCTATCCAAATATCCACTTGCAGATTCCACAGAAAGACTGTTTCAAATCTGCTCTGTCAACAGAAAGATTCAACTCTGTTAGCTGCGTGCATATATCCCAAAGAAGATTCTGAGATTGCTTCTGTCTGGTTTTTATGGGAAGATATTTCCCTTTTCACCGTAGGCGTCAAGGTGCTCGATATGTCCACTTCCAGATACCACAAAGAGTGTTTCAAACCTACTCTGTGAAAGGGAATATTCAACTCTGTGACTTGAATGCAGATATCACAAAGAAGTTTCTGTGAATGCTTCTGTCGAGATTTTATATGAAGATATTCCCGTTTCCAACGAAATGGTGAAATCTATCCAAATATCCCCTCGCAGATTCTACAAAAAGAGTGTTTCAAAACTGCTCTGTGAAAAGAAAGGTTCAACTCTGTTAGTTGAGTACACACATCACAAACAAGTTTCACAGAATGCTTCTTTCTAGCTTGTAGGGGAAGATATTCCCTTTATCACCATGGGCCTCAAACCGTCCGAAACGTCCACATCCATATACTACAAAAAGAGCGTTTCAAACCTGCTCTATGAAAGGCAATGTTCAACTCTGTGACTTGAATGCAGACATCACAGAGCAGTTTCTGAGAATGCTTCTGTCTAGATTTTATAGGAAGATATTCCCGTTTCCAACGAGATCTTCACAGCTATCCAAATATCCGCTTGCAGATTCTACAAAAAGAGTGTATCAAAACTGCTCTGTCAAAAGGAAGGTTCTTCTCTGTTAGTTGAGTACATACGTCATAAAGGAGTTTCTGAGAATGTTTCTGTCTAGTGGTTATGGGAAGATATTTGCTTTTTCACCGTAGGCCTCAGAGCGCTCCAAATATCCACTTGCACATACTACAAAAAGAGTGCCTCAAGGCTGCTCTCTGAAACGGAATGTTCAACTCTATGAGTTGAATGCAAACATCGCAAAGACGTTTCTGAGAATGCTTCTGCCTAGATTTGATATGAAGATATTCCCGTTTCCAACGAAATCTTCAAATCTATCCAAATGTCCACTTGCAGATTCAACAAAAAGTGTTTTTCAGAACTGCTCTATCAAAAGAAAGATCCATCTCTGTTAGCTGAGTTCACACATCACAAACAAGTTTATGAGAATGCTTCTGTCTAGTTTTTATTTGAAGATATTTCCTTTCTCACCATAGACCTGAAAGCTGTCCTAATGTTCACTCCCAGATACTACAGAAAGAGTGCTTCAAAACTGCTGTACGAAAGGGAATGTTCAACTCTGTGACTTGAATGCACACATCACAAAGAAGTTTCTGAGGATGGTGCTGTCTACTTTTTATACGTAATCCCGTTTCCAACGATATCCTCCAATCTATCCAAATATCCACTTGCAGATTCCACAGAAAGACTGTTTCAAATCTGCTCAGTCAATAGAAAGGTTCAACTCTGTTAGCTGCGTGCATATATCCCAAAGAAGATTCTGAGATTGCTTCTGTCTAGTTTTTATGGGAAGATATTTCCCTTTTCACCTTAGGTGTCAAGGCGCTCCAAATGTCCACTTCCAGATACTACAAAAAGAGTGATTCAAACCTACTCTGTGAAAGGGAATATTCAACTCTGTGACTTGAATGCACATATCACAAGGAAGTTTCTGAGAATGCTTCTGTCGAGATTTTCTATGAAGATATTCCCGTTTCCAACGAAATCCTGAAATGTATCCAAATATCCCCTCGCAGATTCTACAAAAAGAGTGTTTCAAAACTGCTCTGTAAAAAGAAAGGTTCAACTCTGTTAGTTGAGTACATACATCACAAACAAGTTTCACAGAATGCTTCTTTCTAGCTTGTAGGAGAATATATTCCCTTTATCACCATGGGTCTCAAACCGTCCGAAACGTCCACTTCCATATACTACAAAAAGAGCGTTTCAAACCTGCTCTATGAAAGGCAATGTTCAACTCTGTGACTTGAATGCAGACATCACAGAGCTGTTTCTGAGAATGCTTCTGTCTAGGTTTTATAGGAAGATATTCCCGTTTCCAGCGAAATCTTCACAGCTATCCAAATATCCACTTGCAGATTCTACAAAAAGAGTGTATCAAAACTGCTCTGTCAAAAGGAAAGTTCTTCTCTGCTAGTTGAGTACATACGTCATAAAGAATTTTCTGAGAATGTTTCTGTCTAGTGGTTATGGGAAGATATTTGCTTTTTTCCCCGTAGGCCTCAGGGCGCTCCAAATGTCCACTTGCACATGCTACAAAAAGAGTGCTTCAAAGCTGCTCTCTGAAAGGGAATGTTCAACTCTATGAGTTGAATGCAAACATCACAAAGACGTTTCTGAGAATGCTTCTGTCTAGATTTGATATGAAGATATTCCCGTTTCCAACGAAATCTTCAAATCTATCCAAATGTCCACTTGCAGATTCAACAAAAAGTGTTTTTCAGAACTGCTCTATCAAAAGAAAGATCCACCTCTGTTAGCTGAGTTCACACATCACAAACAAGTTTATGAGAGTGCTTCTGTCTAGTTTTTATTTGAAGATATTTCCTTTCTCACCATAGAGCTGAAAGCTGTCCTAATGTTCACTTCCAGATGCTACAGAAAGAGTGTTTCAAAACTGCTGTACGAAAGGGAATGTTCAACTCTGTGACTTGAATGCACACATCACAAAGAAGTTTCTGAGGATGCTGCTGTCTACTTTTTATACGTAATCCCGTTTCCAACGAAATCCTCCAAGCTATCCAAATATCCACTTGCAGATTCCACAGAAAGACTGTTTCAAAACTGCTCTGTCAATAGAAAGGTTCAACTCTGTTGGCTGCGTGCATATATCCCAAAGAAGATTCTGAGATTGCTTCTGTCTAGTTTTTATGGGAAGATATTTCCCTTTTCACCGTAGGTGTCAAAGCGCTCCAAATGTCCACTTCCAGATACTACAAAAAGAGTGTTTCAAACCTACTCTGTGAAAGGGAATATTCAACTCTGTGACTTGAATGCACATATCACAAAGAAGTTTCTGAGAATGCTTCTGTCGAGATTTTATATGAAGATATTCCCGTTTCCAACGAAATGCTGAAATGTATCCAAATATCCCCTCGCAGATTCTACAAAAAGAGTGTTTCAAAACTGCTCTGTAAAAAGAAAGGTTCAACTCTGTTAGATGAGTACACACATCACAAACAAGTTTCACAGAATGCTTCTTTCTAGCTTGTAGGGGAAGATATTCCCTTTATCACCATGGGCCTCAAACCGTCCGAAAAGTCCACTTCCATATACTACAAAAAGAGCGTTTCAAACCTGCTCTATGAAAGGCAATGTTAAACTCTGTGACTTGAATGCAGACATCACAGAGCAGTTTCTGAGAATGCTTCTGTCTAGATTTTATAGGAAGATATTCCCCTTTCCAACGAAATCTTCACAGCTATCCAAATATCCACTTGCAGATTCTACAAAAAGAGTGTATCAAAACTGCTCTGTCAAAAGGAAGGTTCTTCTCTGTTAGGTGAGTGCATACGTCATAAAGGAGTTTCTGAGAATGTTTCTGTCTAGTGGTTATGGGAAGATATTTGCTTTTTCACCTTAGGCCTCAGAGCGCTCCTAATATCCACTTGCACATACTACAAAAAGAGTGCTTCAAAGCTGCTCTCTGAAAGGGAATGTTCAACTCTATGAGTTGAATGCAAACATCACAAAGACGTTTCTGAGAATGCTTCTGTCTAGATTTGATATGAAGATATTCCCGTTTCCAACGAAATCTTCAAATCTATCCAAATGTCCACTTGCAGACTCAACAAAAAGTGTTTTTCAGAACTGCTCTATCAAAAGAAAGATCCACCTCTGTTAGCTGAGTTCACACATCACAAACAAGTTTATGAGAATGCTTCTGTCTAGTTTTTATTTGAAGATATTTCCTTTCTCACCATAGACCTGAAAGCTGTCCTAATGTTCACTTCTAGATACTACAGAAAGAGTGTTTCAATACTGCTGTACGAAAGGGAATGTTCAACTCTGTGACTTGAATGCACACATCACAAAGAAGTTTCTGAGGATGCTGCTGTCTACTTTTTATACGTAATCCCGTTTCCAAAGAAATCCTCCAAGCTATCCAAATATCCACTTGCAGATTCCACAGAAGGACTGTTTCTAAACTGCTCTGTCAATAGAAAGGTTCAACTCTGTTAGCTGCGTGCATATATCCCAAAGAAGATTCTGAGATTGCTTCTGTCTAGTTTTTATGGGAAGATATTTCCCTTTTCACCATAGGTGTCAAGGCGCTCCAAATGTCCACTTCCAGATACTACAAAAAGAGTGTTTCAAACCTACTCTGTGAAAGGGAATATTCAACTCTGTGACTTGAATGCACATATCACAAAGAAGTTTCTGAGAATGCTTCCGTCGAGATTTTATATGAAGATATTCCCGTTTCCAACGAAATCCTGAAATCTATCCAAATATCCCCTCGCAGATTCTACAAAAAGAGTGTTTCAAAACTGCTCTGTAAAAAGAAAGGTTCAACTCTGTTAGTTGAGTACACACATCACAAACAAGTTTCACAGAATGCTTCTTTCTAGCTTGTAGGGAAAGATATTCCCTTTATCACCATGGGCCTCCAACCGTCCGAAACATCCACTTCCATATACTACAAAAAGAGCGTTTCAAACCTGCTCTATGAAAGGCAATGTTCAACTCTGTGACTTGAATGCAGACATCACAGAGCAGTTTCTGAGAATGCTTCTGTCTAGATTTTATAGGAAGATATTCCCGTTTCCAACGAAATCTTCGCAGCTATCCAAATATCCACTTGCAGATTCTACAAAAAGAGTGTATCAAAACTGCTCTGTCAAAAGGAAGGTTCTTTTCTGTTAGGTGAGTGCATACGTCATAAAGGAGTTTCTGAGAATGTTTCTGTCTAGTGGTTATGGGAAGATATTTGCTTTTTCCCCGTAGGCCTCAGAGCGCTCCAAATGTCCACTTGCACATGCTACAAAAAGAGTGCTTCAAAGCTACTCTCTGGAAGGGAATGTTCAACTCTATGAGTTGAATGCAAACATCACAAAGACGTTTCTGAGAATGCTTCTGTCTAGATTTGATATGAAGATATTCCCGTTTCCAACGAAATCTTCATATCTATCCAAATGTCCACTTGCAGATTCAACAAAAAGTGTTTTTCAAAACTGCTGTATCAAAAGAAAGATCCACGTCTGTTAGCTGATGCTCTATCAAAAGAATGATCCACCTCTGTTAGCTGAGTTCACACATCACAAACAAGTTTATGAAAATGCTTCTGTCTAGTTTATATTTGAAGATATTTCCTTTCTCACCATAGAGCTGAAAGCTGTCCTAATGTTCACTTCCAGATACTACAGAAAGAGTGTTTCAAAACTGCTGTACGAAAGGGAATGTTCAACTCTGTGACTTGAATGCACACATCACAAAGAAGTTTCTGAGGATGCTGCTGTCTACTTTTTATACGTAATCCCGTTTCCAATGAAATCCTCCAACTATCCAAATATCCACTTGCAGATTCCACAGAAAGACTGTTTCAAAACTGCTCTGTCAATAGAAAGGTTCAACTCTGTTAGCTGCGTGCATATATCCCAAAGAAGATTCTGAGATTGCTTCTGTCTAGTTTTTATGGGAAGATATTTCCCTTTTCACCGTAGCGGTCAAGGCGCTCCAAATGTCCACTTCCAGATACTACAAAAAGAGTGTTTCAAACCTACTCTGTGAAAGGGAATATTCAACTCTGTGACTTGAATGCAGATATCACAAAGAAGTTTCTGAGAATGCTTCTGTCGAGATTTTATATGAAGATATTCCCGTTTCCAACGAAATCCTGAAATCTATCCAAATATCCCCTCGCAGATTCTACAAAAAGAGTGTTTCAAAACTGCTCTGTAAAAAGATAGGTTCAACTCTGTTAGTTGAGTACACACATCACAAACAAGTTTCACAGAATGCTTCTTTCTAGCTTGTAGGGGAAGATATTCCCTTTATCACCATGGGCCTCAAACCGTCCGAAACGTCCACTTCCATATACTACAAAAAGAGCGTTTCAAACCTGCTCTAGGAAAGGCAATGTTCAACTCTGTGACTTGAATGCAGTCATCACAGAGCAGTTTCTGAGAATGCTTCTGTCTAGATTTTATAGGAAGATATTCCCGTTTCCAACGAAATCTTCACAGGTATCCAAATATCCACTTGCAGATTCTACAAAAAGAGTGTTTCAAAACTGCTCTGTCAAAAGGAAGGTTCTTCTCTGTTAGGTGAGTGCATACGTCATAAAGGAGTTTCTGAGAATGTTTCTGTCTAGTGGTTATGGGAAGATATTTGCTTTTTCACCGTAGGCCTCAGAGCGCTCCAAATATCCGCTTGCACATACTACAAAAAGAGTGCTTCAAAGCTGCTCTCTGAAACGGAATGTTCAACTCTATGAGTTGAATGCAAACATCACAAAGACGTTTCTGAGAATGCTTCCGTCTAGATTTGATATGAAGATATTCCCGTTTCCAACGACATCTTCAAATCTATCCAAATGTCCACTTGCAGATTCAACAAAAAGTGTTTTTCAGAACTGCTCTATCAAAAGAAAGATCCACGTGTGTTAGCTGAGTTCACACATCACAAACAAGTTTATGAGAATGCTTCTGTTTAGTTTTTATTTGAAGATATTTCCTTTCTCACCATAGAGCTGAAAGCTGTCCTAATGTTCACTTCCAGATACTACAGAAAGAGTGTTTCAAAACTGCTGTACGAAAGGGAATGTTCAACTCTGTGACTTGAATGCACACATCACAAAGAAGTTTCTGAGGATGCTGCTGTCTACTTTTTATACGTAATCCCGTTTCCAACGAAATCCTCCAAGCTATCCAAATATCCACTTGCAGATTCCACAGAAAGACTGTTTCAAAACTGCTCTGTCAATAGAAAGGTTCATCTCTGTTAGCGGCGTGCATAAATCCCAAAGAAGATTCTGAGATTGCTTCTGTCTAGTTTTTATGGGAAGATATTTCCCTTTTCACCGTAGGCGTCCAGGCGCTCCAAATGTCCACTTCCAGATACTACAAAAAGAGTGTTTCAAACCTACTCTGTGAAAGGGAATATTCAACTCTGTGACTCGAATGCACATATCACAAGGAAGTTTCTGAGAATGCTTCTGTCGAGATTTTGTATGAAGATATTCCCGTTTCCAACGAAATCCTGAAATCTATCCAAATTTCCCCTCGCAGATTCTACAAAAAGAGTGTTTCAAAACTGCTCTGTGAAAAGAAAGGTTCAACTGCTGTTAGTTGAGTACACACATCACAAACAAGTTTCACAGAATGCTTCTTTCTAGCTTGTAGGGTAAGATATTCCCTTTATGACCATGGGCCTCAAACCGTCCGAAACGTCCACTTTTATATACTACAAAAAGAGCGTTTCAAACCTGCTCTATGAAAGGCAATGTTCAACTCTGTGACTTGAATGCAGACATCACAGAGCAGTTTCTGAGAATGCTTCTGTCTAGATTTTATAGGAAGATATTCCCGTTTCCAACGAAATCTTCACAGCTATCCAAATATCCACTTGCAGATTCTACAAAAAGAGTGTATCAAAACTGCTCTGTCAAAAGGAAAGTTCTTCTCTGTTAGGTGAGTGCATACGTCATAAAGGAGTTTCTGAGAATGTTTCTGTCTAGTGGTTATGGGAAGATATTTGCTTTTTCACCGTAGGCCTCAGAGCGCTCCAAATATCCACTTGCACATACTACAAAAAGAGTGCCTCAAAGCTGCTCTCTGAAACGGAATGTTCAACTCTATGAGTTGAATGCAAACATCACAAAGACGTTTCTGAGAATGCTTCTGTCTAGATTTGATATGAAGATATTCCCGTTTCCAACGAAATCTTCAAATCTATCCAAATGTCCACTTGCAGATTCAACAAAAAGTGTTTTTCAGAACTTCTCTATCAAAAGAAAGATCCACCTCTGTTAGCTGAGTTCACACATCACAAACAAGTTTATGAGAATGCTTCTGTCTAGTTTTTATTTGAAGATATTTCCTTTCTCACCATAGACCTGAAAGCTGTCCTAATGATCACTTCCAGATACTACAGAAAGAGTGTTTCAAAACTGCTGTACGAAAGGGAATGTTCAACTCTGTGACTTGAATGCACACATCACAAAGAAGTTTCTGAGGATGCTGCTGTCTACTTTTTCTACGTAATCCCGTTTCCAACGAAATCCTCCAAGCTATCCAAATATCCACTTGCAGATTCCACAGAAAGACTGTTTCAAAACTGCTCTGTCAATAGAAAGGTTCAACTCTGTTAGCTGCGTGCATATATCCCAAAGAAGATTCTGAGATTGCTTCTGTCTACTTTTTATGAGAAGATATTTCCCTTTTCACCGTAGGCGTCAAGGCTCTCCAAATGTCCACTTCCAGATACTACAAAAAGAGTGTTTCAAACCTACTCTGTGAAAGGGAATATTGAACTCTGTGACTTGAATGCACATATCACAAAGAAGCTTCTGAGAATGCTTCTGTCGAGATTTTATATGAAGATATTCCCGTTTCCAACGAAATCCTGAAATCTATCCAAATATCCCCTCGCAGATTCTACAAAAAGAGTGTTTCAAAACTGCTCTGTAAAAAGAAAGGTTCAACTCTATTAGTTGAGTACACACATCACAAACAAGTTTCACAGAATGCTTCTTTCTAGCTTGTAGGGGAAGATATTCCCTTTATCACCATGGGCCTCAAACCGTCCGAAACTTCCACTTCCATATACTACAAAAAGAGCGTTTCAAACCTGCTCTAGGAAAGGCAATGTTCAACTCTGTGACTTGAATGCAGACATCACATAGCAGTTTCTGAGAATGCTTCTGTCTAGATTTTATAGGAAGATATTCCCGTTTCCAACGAAATCTTCACAGCTATCCAAATATCCACTTGCAGATTCTACAAAAAGAGTGTATCAAAACTGCTCTGTCAAAAGGAAGGTTCTTCTCTGTTAGTTGAGTACATACGTCATAAAGGAGTTTGTGAGAATGTTTCTGTCTAGTGGTTATGGGAAGATATTTGCTTTTTCACCGAAGGCCTCAGAGCGCTCCAAATGTCCACTTGCACATACTACAAAATGAGTGCCTCAAAGCTGCTCTCTGAAACGGAATGTTCAACTCTATGAGTTGAATGCAAACATCACAAAGACGTTTCCGAGAATGCTTCTGTCTAGATTTGATATGAAGATATTCCCGTTTCCAACGTAATCTTCAAATCTATCCAAATGTCCCCTTGCAGATTCAACAAAGTGTTTTTCAAAACTGCTGTACCAAAGAAAGATCCACCTCTGTTAGCTGAGTTCACACTTCACAAACAAGTTTATCAGAATGCTTCTGTCTAGTTTTTATTTGAAGATATTTCCTTTCTCACCATAGACCTGAAAGCTGTCCTAATGTTCACTTCCAGTTACTACAGAAAGAGTGTTTGAAAACTGCTGTACGAAAGGGAATGCTCAACTCTGTGACTTGAATGCACACATCACAAAGAAGTTTCTGAGGATGCTGCTGTCTACTTTTTATACTTAATCCCGTTTCCAACGAAATCCTCCAAGCTATCCAAATATCCACTTGCAGATTCCACAGAAAGACTGTTTCAAAACTGCTCTGTCAATAGAAAGGTTCAACTCTGTTAGCTGCGTGCATATATCCCAAAGAAGATTCTGAGATTGCTTCTGTCTAGTTTTTATGGGAAGATATTTCCCTTTTCACCGTAGGGCGTCAAGGCGCTCCAAATGTCCACTTCCAGATACTACAAAAAGAGTGTTTCAAACCTACTCTGTGAAAGGGAATATTCAACTCTGTGACTTTAATGCACATATCACAAAGAAGTTTCTGAGAATGCTTCTGTCGAGATTTTCTATGAAGATATTCCCGTTTCCAACGAAATCCTGAAATGTATCCAAATATCCCCTCGCAGATTCTACAGAAAGAGTGTTTCAAAACTGCTCTGTAAAAAGAAAGGTTCAACTCTGTTACTTGAGTACACACATCACAAACAAGTTTCACAGAATGCTTCTTTCTAGCTTGTAGGGGAAGATATTCCCTTTATCACCGTGGGCCTCAAACCGTCCGAAACGTCCACTTCCATATACTACAAAAAGAGCGTTTCAAACCTGCTCTAGGAAAGGCAATGTTCAACTCTGTGACTTGAATGCAGACATCACAGAGCAGTTTCTGAGAATGCTTCTGTCTAGAATTTATAGGAAGATATTCCCGTTTCCAACGAAATCTTCACAGCTATCCAAATATCCACTTTCAGATTCTACAAAAAGAGTGTATCAAAAGTGCTCTGTCAAAAGGAAGGTTCTTCTCTGTTAGGTGAGTGCATACGTCATAAAGGAGTTTCTGAGAATGTTTCTGTCTAGTGGTTATGGGAAGATATTTGCTTTTTCACCTTAGGCCTCAGAGCGCTCCATATATCCCCTTGCACATACTACAAAAAGAATGCTTCAAAGCTGCTCTCTGAAAGGGAATGTTCAACTCTATGATTTGAATGCAAACATCACAAAGACGTTTCTGAGAATGCTTCTGTCTAGATTTGATATGAAGATCTTCCCGTTTCCAACGAAATCTTCAAATCTATCCAAATGTCCACTTGCAGATTCAACAGAAAGTGTTTTTCAGAACTGCTCTATCAAAAGAAAGATCCACCTCTGTTAGCTGAGTTCAGACATCACAAACAAGTTTATGAGAATGCTTCTGTCTAGTTTTTATTTGAAGATATTTCCTTTCTCACCATAGACCTGAAAGCTGTCCTAATGTTCACTTCCAGATACTACAGAAAGAGTGTTTCAAAACTGCTGCACGAAAGGGAATGTTCAACTCTGTGACTTGAATGCACACCTCACAAAGAAGTTTCTGAGGATGCTGCTGTCTACTTTTTATACGTACTCCCGTTTCCAACGAAATCCTCCAAGCTATCCAAATATCCACTTGCAGATTCCACAGAAAGACTGTTTCAAAACTGCTCTGTCAATAGAAAGGTTCAACTCTGTTAGCTGCGTGCATATATCCCAAAGAAGATTCTGAGATTGCTTCTGTCTACTTTTTATGGGAAGATATTTCCCTTTTCACCGTAGGCGTCAAGGCGCTCCAAATGTCCACTTCCAGATACTACAAAAAGAGTGTTTCAAACCTACTCTGTGAAAGGGAATATTCAACTCTGTGACTAGAATGCGCATATCACAATGAAGTTTCTGAGAATGCTTCTGTCGAGATTTTATATGAAGATATTCCCGTTTCCAACGAAATCCTGAAATCTATCCAAATATCCCCTCGCAGATTCTACAAAAAGAGTGTTTCAAAACTGCTCTGTGAAAAGAAAGGTTCAACTCTGTTAGTTGAGTACACACATCACAAACAAGTTTCACAGAATGCTTCTTTCTAGCTTGTAGGGGAAGATATTCCCTTTATCACCATGGGGCTCCAACCGTCCGAAACATCCACTTCCATATACTACAAAAAGAGCGTTTCAAACCTGCTCTATGAAAGGCAATGTTCAACTCTGTGACTTGAATGCAGACATCACAGAGCAGTTTCTGAGAATGCTTCTGTCTAGATTTTATAGGAAGTTATTCCCGTTTCCAACGAAATCTTCACAGGTATCCAAATATCCACTTGCAGATTCTACAAAAAGAGTGTATCAAAACTGCTCTGTCAAAAGGAAGGTTCTTCTCTGTTAGGTGAGTGCATACGTCATAAAGGAGTTTCTGAGAATGTTTCTGTCTAGTGGTTATGGGAAGATATTTGCTTTTTCACCGTAGGCCTCAGAGCGCTCCAAATATCCACTTGCACATACTACAAAAAGAGTGCTTCAAAGCTGCTCTCTGAAACGGAATGTTTAACTCTATGAGTTGAATGCAAACATCACAAAGACGTTTCTGAGAATGCTTCTGTCTAGATTTGATATGAAGATATTCCCGATTCCAAAGAAATCTTCAAATCTATCCAAATGTCCACTTGCAGATTCAACAAAAAGTGTTTTTCAGAACTGCTCTATCAAAAGAAAGATCCACGGCTCTTAGCTGAGTTCACACATCACGAACAAGTTTATGAGAATGCTTCTGTCTAGTTTTTATTTGAAGATATTTCCTTTCTCACCATAGACCTGAAACGCTGTCCTAATGTTCACTTCCAGATACTACAGAAAGAGTGTTTCAAAACTGCTGTACGAAAGGGAATGTTCAACTCTGTGACTTGAATGCACACATCACAAGGAAGTTTCTCAGGATGCTGCTGTCTACTTTTTATACGTAATCCCGTTTCCAACGAAATCCTCCAAGCTATCCAAATATCCACTTGCAGATTCCACAGAAAGACTGTTTCAAAACTGCTCTGTCAATAGAAAGGTTCAACTCTGTTAGCTGCGTGCATATATCCCAAAGAAGATTCTGAGATTGCTTATCTGTCTACTTTTTATGAGAAGATATTTTCCTTTTCACCGTAGGCGTCAGGGCGCTCCAAATGTCCACTTCCAGATACTACAAAAAGAGTGTTTCAAACCTACTCTGTGAACGGGAATATTCAACTCTGTGACTTGAATGCACATATCACAAAGAAGCTTCTGAGAATGCTTCTGTCGAGATTTTATATGAAGATATTCCCGTTTCGAACGAAATCCTGAAATCTATCCAAATATCCCCTCGCAGATTCTACAAAAAGAGTGTTTCAAAACTGCTCTGTAAAAAGAAAGGTTCAACTCTGTTAGTTGAGTACACACATCACAAAAAAGTTTCACAGAATGCTTCTTTCTAGCTTGTAGGGGAAGATATTCCCTTTATCACCATGGGCCTCAAACCGTCCGAAAAGTCCACTTCCATATACTACGAAAAGAGCATTTCAAACCTGCTCTATGAAAGGCAATGTTCAACTCTGTGACTTGAATGCAGACATCACAGAGCAGTTTCTGAGAATGCTTCTGTCTAGATTTTATAGGAAGATATTCCCGTTTCCAACGAAATCTTCACAGCTATCCAAATATCCACTTGCAGTTTCTACAAAAAGAGTGTATCAAAACTGCTCTCTCAAAAGGAAGGTTCTTCTCTGTTAGTTGAGTACATACGTCATAAAGGAGTTTCTGAGAAAGTTTCTGTCTAGTGGTTATGGGAAGATATTTTCTTTTTCACCGTAGGCCTCAGAGCGCTCCAAATATCCACTTGCACATACTACAAAAAGAGTGTTTCAAAGCTGCTCTCTGAAAGGGAATGTTCAACTCTATGAGTTGAATGCAAACATGACAAAGACGTTTCTGAGAATGCTTCTCTCTAGATTTGATATGAAGATATTCCCATTTCCAAAGAAATCTTCAAATCTATCCAAATGTCCACTTGCAGATTCAACAAAAAGTGTTTTTCAGAACTGCTCTATCAAAAGAAAGATCCACGTCTCTTAGCTGAGTTCACACATCACAAACAAGTTTATGAGAATGCTTCTGTGTAGTTTTTATTTGAAGATATTTCCTTTCTCACCATAGACCTGAATGCTGTCCTAATGTTCACTTCCAGACACTACAGAAAGAGTTTTTCAAAACTGCTGTACGAAAGGGAATGTTCAACTCTGTGACTTGAATGCACACATCACAAAGAAGTTTCTGAGGATGCTGCTGTCTACTTTTTATAGGTAATCCCGTTTCCAACGAAATCCTCCAAGCTATCCAAATATCCACTTGCAGATTCCACAGAAAGACTGTTACAAAACTGCTCTGTCAATAGAAAGGTTCAACTCTCTTAGCTGCGTGCATATATCCCAAAGAAGATTCTGAGATTGCTTCTGTCTAGTTTTTATGGGAAGATATTTCCCTTTTCACCGTAGTTGTCAATGTGCTCCAAATGTCCACTTCCAGACACTACAAAAAGAGTGTTTCAAACCTACTCTGTGAAAGGGAATATTCAACTCTGTGACTTGAATGCAGATATCACAAAGAAGTTTCTGAGAATGCTTCTGTCGAGATTTTATATGAAGATATTCCCGTTTCCAACGAAATCCTGAAATCTATCCAAATATCCCCTCGCAGATTCTACAAAAAGAGTGTTTCAAAACTGCTCTGTAAAAAGAAAGGTTGAACTCTGTTACTTGAGTACACACATCACAAACAAGTTTCACAGAATGCTTCTTTCTAGCTTGTAGGGGAAGATATTCCCTTTATCACCATGGGCCTCAAACCGTCCGAAACGTCTACTTCCATATACTACAAAAAGAGCGTTTCAAACCTGCTCTATGAAAGGCAATGTTCAACTCTGTGACTTGAATGCAGACATCACAGAGCAGTTTCTGAGAATGCTTTCTGTCTAGATTTTATAGGAAGATATTTCCGTTTCCAACGAAATCTTCACAGCTATCCAAATATCCACTTGCAGATTCTACAAAAAGAGTGTATCAAAACTGCTCTGTCAAAAGGAAGGTTCTTCTCTGTTAGGTGAGTGCATACGTCATAAAGGAGTTTCTGAGAATGTTTCTGTCTAGTGGTTATGGGAAGATATTTGCTTTTTCACCGTAGGCCTCAGAGCGCTCCAAATATCCACTTGCACATACTACAAAAAGAGTGCCTCAAAGCTGCTCTCTGAAACGGAATGTTCAACTCTATGAGTTGAATGCAAACATCGCAAAGACGTTTCTGAGAATGCTTTCTGTCTAGATTTGATATGAAGATATTCCCGTTTCCAACGAAATCTTCAAATCTATCCAAATGTCCACTTGCAGATTCAACAAAAAGTGTTTTTCAGAACTGCTCTATCAAAAGAAAGATCCACGTGTGTTAGCTGCGTTCACACATCACAAACAAGTTTATGAGAATGCTTCTATCTAGTTTTTATTTGAAGATATTTCCTTTCTCACCATCGACCTGAAAGCTGTCCTAATGTTCACTTCCAGATACTACAGAAAGAGTGTTTCAAAACTGCTGTACGAAAGGGAATGTTCAACTCTGTGACTTGAATGCACACATCACAAAGAAGTTTCTGAGGATGCTGCTGTCTACTTTTTATACGTAATCCCGTTTCCAACGAAATCCTCCAAGCTATCCAAATATCCACTTGCAGATTCCACAGAAAGAGTGTTTCAAAACTGCTCTGTCAATAGAAAGGTTCAACTCTGTTAGCTGCGTGCATATATCCCAAAGAAGATTCTGAGATTGCTTCTGTCTAGTTTTTATGGGAAGATATTTCCCTTTTCACCGTAGGTGTCAAGGTGCTCCAAATGTCCACTTCCAGATACTACAAAAAGAGTGTTTCAAACCTACTCTGTGAAAGGGAATATTCAACTCTGTGACTTGAATGCAGATATCACAAAGAAGTTTCCTGAGAATGCTTCTGTCGAGATTTTATATGAAGATATTCCCGTTTACAACGAAATTCTGAAATCTATCCAAATATCCCCTCGCAGATTCTAGAAAAAGAGTGTTTCAAAACTGCTCTGTAAAAAGAAAGGTTCACTTCTCTTAGTTGAGTACACACATCACAAACAAGTTTCTCAGAATGCTTCTTTCTAGCTTGTAGGGGAAGATATTCCCTTTATCACCATGGGCCTCAAACCGTCCGAAACGTCTACTTCCATATACTACAAAAAGAGCGCTTCAAACCTGCTCTATGAAAAGCAATGTTCAACTCTGTGACTTGAATGCAGACATCGCAGAGCAGTTTCTGAGAATGCTTCTGTCTAGATTTTATAGGAAGATATTCCCGTTTCCAACGAAATCTTCACAGCTATCCAAATATCCACTTGCAGATTCTACAAAAAGAGTTTATCAAAACTGCTCTGTCAAAAGGAAGGTTCTTCTCTGTTAGGTGAGTGCATACTTCATAAAGGAGTTTCTGAGAATGTTTCTGTCTAGTGGTTATGGGAAGATATTTGCTTTTTCACCGTAGGCCTCAGAGCGCTCCAAATGTCCACTTGCACATGCTACAAAAAGAGTGCTTCAAAGCTGCTCTCTGAAAGGGAATGTTCAACTCTATGAGTTGAATGCAAACATCACAAAGACGTTTCTGAGAATGCTTCTGTCTAGATTTGATATGAAGATATTCCCGTTTCCAACGAAATCTTCAAATCTATCCAAATGTCCACTTGCAGATTCAACAAAAAGTGTTTTTCCGAACTGCTCTATCAAAAGAAAGATCCACCTCTGTTAGCTCAGTTCACACATCACAAACAAGTTTATGAGAATGTTTCTGTCTAGTTTTTATTTGAAGATATTTCCTTTCTCACCATAGACCTGAAAGCTGTCCTAATGTTCACTTCCAGATACTACAGAAAGAGTGTTTCAAAACTGCTGTACGAAAGGGAATGTTCAGCTCTGTGACTTGAATGCACACATCACAAAGAAGTTTCTGAGGATGCTGCTGTCTACTTTTTATACGTAATTCCGTTTCCAACGAAATCCTCCAATCTATCCAAATATCCACTTGCAGATTCCACAGAAAGACTGTTTCAAATCTGCTCAGTCAATAGAAAGGTTCAACTCTGTTAGCTGCGTGCATATATCACAAAGAAGATTCTGAGATTGCTTCTGTCTAGTTTTTATGGGAAGATATTTCCCTTTTCACCGTAGGCGTCAAGGCGCTCCAAATGACCACTTCCAGATACTACAAAAAGAGTGTTTCAAACCTACTCTGTGAAAGGGAATATTCAACTCTGTGACTTGAATGCACATATCACAAGGAAGTTTCTGAGAATGCTTCTGTCGAGATTTTATATGAAGATATTCCCGTTTCCAACGAAATGCTGAAATGTATCAAAATATCCCCTCGCAGATTCTACAAAAAGAGTGTTTCAAAACTGCTCTGTAAAAAGAAAGGTTCAACTCTGTTAGTTGAGTACACACATCACAAACAAGTTTCACAGAATGCTTCTTTCTAGCTTGTAGGGGAAGATATTCCCTTTATCACCATGGGCCTCAAACCGTCCGAAACGTCTACTTCCATATACTACAAAAAGAGCGTTTCAAACCTGCTCTATGAAAAGCAATGTTCAACTCTGTGACTTGAATGCAGACATCACAGAGCAGTTTCTGAGAATGCTTCTGTCTAGATTTTATAGGAAGATATTCTCGTTTCCAACGAAATCTTCACAGCTATCCAAATATCCACTTGCAGATTCTACAAAAAGAGTGTATCAAAACTGCTCTGTCAAAAGGAAGGTTCTTCTCTGTTAGGTGAGTGCATACGTCATAAAGGAGTTTCTGAGAATGTTTCTGTCTAGTGGTTATGGGAAGATATTTGCTTTTTCACCGTAGGCCTCAGAGCGCTCCAAATATCCACTTGCACATACTACAAAAAGAGTGCTTCAAAGCTGCTCTCTGAAACGGAATGTTCAACTCTGTGAGTTGAATGCAAACATCACAAAGACGTTTCTGAGAATGCTTCTGTCTACATTTGATATGAAGATATTCCCGTTTCCAACGAAATCTTCAAATCTATCCAAATGTCCACTTGCATAATCAACAAAAAGTGTTTTTCAGAACTGCTCTATCAAAAGAAAGATCCACCTCTGTTAGCTGAGTTCACACATCACAAACAAGTTTATGAGAATGCTTCTGTCTAGTTTTTATTTGAAGATATTTCCTTTCTCACCATAGACCTGAAAGCTGTCCTAATGTTCACTTCCAGATACTACAGAAAGAGTGTTTCAAAACTGCTGTACGAAAGGGAATGTTCAACTCTGTGACTTGAATGCACACCGCACAAAGAAGTTTCTGAGGATGCTGCTGTCTACTTTTTATACTTAATCCCGTTTCCAACGAAATCCTCCAAGCTATCCAAATATCCACTTGCAGATTCCACAGAAAGACTGTTTCAAAACTGCTCTGTCAATAGAAAGGTTCAACTCTGTTAGCTGCGTGCATATATCCCAAAGAAGATTCCTGAGATTGCTTCTGTCTAGTTTTTATGGGAAGATATTTCCCTTTTCACCGTAGGCGTCAAGGCGCTCCAAATGTCCACTTCCAGATACTACAAAAAGAGTGTTTCAAACCTACTCTGTGAAAGGGAATATTCAACTCTGTGACTTGAATGCAGATATCACAAAGAAGTTTCTGAGAATGCTTCTGTCGAGATTTTATATGAAGATATTCCCGTTTCCAACGAAATCCTGAAATCTATCCAAATATCCCCTCGCAGATTCTACAAAAAGAGTGTTTCCAAACTGCTCTGTAAAAAGAAAGGTTCAACTCTGTTAGTTGAGTACACACATCACAAACAAGTTTCACAGAATGCTTCTTTCTAGCTTGTAGGGGAAGATATTCCCTTTATCACCATGGGCCTCAAACCGTCCGAAACGTCCACTTCCATATACTACAAAAAGATCGTTTCAAACCTGCTCTAGGAAAGGCAATGTTCAACTCTGTGACTTGAATGCAGACATCACAGAGCAGTTTCTGAGAATGCTTCTGTCTGGATTTTATAGGAAGATATTCCCGTTTCCAACGAAATCTTCACAGCTATCCAAATATCCACTTGCAGATTCTACAAAAAGAGTGTATCAAACCTGCTCTGTCAAAAGGAAGGTTCTTCTCTGTTAGTTGAGTACATACGTCATAAAGGAGTTTCTGAGAATGTTTCTGTCTAGTGGTTATGGGAAGATATTTGCTTTTTCACCGTAGGCCTCAGAGCGCTCCAAATATCCACTTGCACATACTACAAAAAGAGTGCCTCAAAGCTGCTCTTGGAAACGGAATGTTCAACTCTATGAGTTGAATGCAAACATCACAAAGACGTTTCTGAGAATGCTTCTGTCTAGATTTGATATGAAGATATTCCCGTTTCCAACGAAATCTTCATATCTATCCAAATGTCCACTTGCAGATTCAACAAAAAGTGTTTTTCAAAACTGCTGTATCAAAAGAAAGATCCACGTCTGTTAGCTGAGTTCACACATCACAAACAAGTTTATGAGAATGCTTCTGTCTAGTTTTTATTTGAAGATATTTCCTTTCTCACCATAGACCTGAAAGCTGTCCTAATGTTCACTCCCAGATAATACACAAAGAGTGTTTCAAAACTGCTGTACGAAGGGGAATGTTCAACTCTGTGACTTGAATGCACACATCACAAAGAAGTTTCTGAGGATGCTGCTGTCTACTTTTTATACGTAATCCCGTTTCCAACGAAATCCTCCAAGCTATCCAAATATCCACTTGCAGATTCCACAGAAAGACTGTTTCAAAACTGCTCTGTCAATAGAAAGGTTCAACTCTGTTAACTGCGTGCATATATCCCAAAGAAGATTCTGAGATTGCTTCTGTGTAGTTTTTATGGGAAGATATTTCCTTTTTCACCATTGGCGTCAAAGCGCTCCCAATGTCCACTTCCAGATACTACAAAAAGAGTGTTTCAAACCTGCTATGTGAAAGGGAATATTCAACTCTGTAACTTCAATGCATATATCACAAAGAGGTTTCGGAGAATGCTTCTGTCGAGATTTTATATGAAGATATTCCCGTTTCCAACGAAATCCTGAAATCTATCCAAATATCCCCTCGCAGATTCTACAGAAAGAGTGTTTCAAAACTGCTCTGTAAAAAGAAAGGTTCAACTCTGTTAGTTGAGTGCACATATCACAAACAAGTTTCACAGAATGCTTCTTTCTAGCTTGTAGGGGAAGATATTCCCTTTATCACCATGGGCCTCCAACCGTCCGAAACATCCACTTCCATATACTACAAAAAGAGCGTTTCAAACCTGCTCTATGAAAGGCAATGTTCAACTCTGTGACTTGAATGCAGACATCACAGAGCAGTTTCTGAAAATGCTTCTGTCTAGATTTTATAGGAAGATATTCCCGTTTCCAACGAAATCTTCACAGCTATCCAAATATCCACTTGCAGATTCTACAAAAAGAGTGTATCAAAACTGCTCTGTCAAAAGGAAGGTTCTTCTCTGTTAGGTGAGTGCATACGTCGTAAAGGAGTTTCTGAGAATGTTTCTGTCTAGTGGTTATGGGAAGATATTTGCTTTTTCACCGTAGGCCTCAGAGCGCTCCAAATATCCACTTGCACATACTACAAAAAGAGTGCCTCAAAGCTGCTCTCTGAAACGGAATGTTCAACTCTATGAGTTGAATGCAAACATCACAAAGACGTCTCTGAGAAGGCTTCTGTCTAGATTTGATATGAAGATATTCCCGTTTCCAACGAAATCTTCAAATCTATCTAAATGTCCACTTGCAGATTCAACAAAAAATGTTTTTCAGAACTGCTCTATCAAAAGAAAGATCCACCTCTGTTAGCTGAGTTCACACATCACAAACAAGTTAATGAGAATGCTTCTGTCTAGTTTTTATTTGAAGATATTTCCTTTCTCACCATAGAGCTGAAAGCTGTCCTAATGTTCACTTCCAGATACTACAGAAAGAGTGTTTCAAAACTGCTGTACGAAAGGGAATGTTCAACTCTGTGACTTGAATGCACACGTCACAAAGAAGTTTCTGAGGATGCTGCTGTCTACTTTTTATACGTAATCCCGTTTCCAACGAAATCCTCCAAGCTATCCAAATATCCACTTGCAGATTCCACAGAAAGGCTGTTTCAAAACTGCTCTGTCAATAGAAAGGTTCAACTCTGTTAGCTGCGTGCATATATCCCAAAGAAGATTCTGAGATTGCTTTCTGTCTAGTTTTTATGGGAAGATATTTCCCTTTTCACCGTAGGCGTCATGGCGCTCCAAATGTCCACTTCCAGATACTACAAAAAGAATGTTTCAAACCTACTCGGTGAAAGGGAATATTCAACTCTGTGACCTGAATGCAGATATCACAAAGAAGTTTCTGAGAATGCTTCTGTCGAGATTTTATATGAAGATATTCCCGTTTCCAACGAAATCCTGAAATCTATCCAAATATCCCCCCGCAGATTCTACAAAAAGAGTGTTTCAAAACTGCTCTGTAAAAAGAAAGGTTCAACTCTGTTAGTTGAGTACACACATCACAAACAAGTTTCACAGAATGCTTCTTTCTAGCTTGTAGGGGAAGATATTCCCTTTATCACCATGGGCCTCCAACCGTCCGAAACATCCACTTACATATACTACAAAAAGAGCGTTTCAAACCTGCTCTATGAAAGGCAATGTTCAACTCTGTGACTTGAATACAGATATCACAGAGCAGTTTCTGAGAATGCTTCTGTCTAGATTTTATAGGAAGATATTCCCGTTTCCAACGAAATCTTCACAGCTATCCAAATATCCACTTGCAGATTCTACAAAAAGAGTGTATCAAAACTGCTCTGTCAAAAGGAAGGTTCTTCTCTGTTGGGTGAGTGCATACGTCATAAAGGAGTTTCTGAGAATGTTTCTGTCTAGTGGTTATGGGAAGATATTTGCTTTTTCACCTTAGGCCTCAGAGCGATCCAAATATCCACTTGCACATACTACAAAAAGAGTGCTTCAAAGCTGCTCTCTGAAACGGAATGTTCAACTCTATGAGTTGAATGCAAACATGACAAAGACGTTTCCGAGAATGCTTCTGTCTAGATTTGATATGACGATATTCCCGTTTCCAACGAAATCTTCAAATCTATCCAAATGTCCACTTGCAGATTCAACAAAACGTGTTTTTCAGAACTGCTCTATCAAAAGAAAGATCCACGTCTCTTAGCTGAGTTCACACATCACAAACAAGTTTATGAGAATGCTTCTGTCTAGTTTTTATTTGAAGATATTTCCTTTCTCACCATAGACCTGAAAGCTGTCCTAATGTTCACTTCCAGACACTACAGAAAGAGTGTTTCAAAACTGCTGTACGAAAGGGAATGTTCAACTCTGTGACTTGAATGCACACATCACAAAGAAGTTTCTGAGGATGCTGCTGTCTACTTTTTATACGTAATCCCATTTCCAACGAAATCCTCCAAGCTATCCAAATATCCACTTGCAGATTCCACAGAAAGACTGTTTCAAAACTGCTATGTCAATAGAAAAGTTCAACTCTGTTAGCTGTGTGCATATATCCCAAAGAAAATTCTGAGATTGCTTCTGTCTAGTTTTTATGGGAAGATATTTCCCTTTTCACCGTAGGCGTCAATGCGCTCCAAATGTCCACTTCCAGATACTACAAAAAGAGTGTTTCAAACCTACTCTGTGAAAGGGAATATTCAACTCTGTGACTTAAAGGCAGATATCACAAAGAAGTTTCTGAGAATGCTTCTGTCGAGATTTTATATGAAGATATTCCCGTTTCCAACGAAATCCTAAATCTATCCAAATATCCCCTCGCAGATTCTACAAAAAGAGTGTTTCAAAACTGCTCTGTAAAAAGAAAGGTTCAACTCTGTTAGTTGAGTACACACATCACAAACAAGTTTCACAGAATGCTTCTTTCTAGCTTGTAGGGGAAGATATTCCCTTTATCACCATGGGCCTCAAAGCGTCCGAAACGTCTACTTCCATATACTACAAAAAGAACGTTTCAAACCTGCTCTATGAAAAGCAATGTTCAACTCTGTGACTTGAATGCAGACATCACAGAGCAGTTTCTGAGAATGCTTCTGTCTAGATTTTATAGGAAGATATTCCCGTTTCCAACGATATCTTCACAGCTATCCAAATATCCACTTGCAGATTCTACAAAAAGAGTGTATCAAAACTGCTCTGTCAAAAGGAAGGTTCTTCTCTGTTAGTTGAGTACATACGTCATAAAGGAGTTTCTGAGAATGTTTCTGTCTAGTGGTTATGGGAAGATATTTGCTTTTTCACCTTAGGCCTCAGAGCGCTCCAAATATCCCCTTGCACATACTACAAAAAGAGTGCTTCAAAGCTGCTCTCTGAAACGGAATGTTCAACTCTATGGGTTGAATGCAAACATCACAAAGACGTTTCTGAGAATGCTTCTGTCTAGATTTGATATGAAGATATTCCCGTTTCCAAAGAAATCTTCAAATCTATCCAAATGTCCACTTGCAGATTCAACAAAAAGTGTTTTTCAGAACTGCTCTATCAAAAGAAAGATCCAGGTCTCTTAGCTGAGTTCACACATCACAAACAAGTTTATGAGAATGCTTCTGTCTAGTTTTTATTTGAAGATATTTCCTTTCTCACCATAGACCTGAAAGCTGTCCTAATGTTCACTTCCAGATACTACAGAAAGAGTGTTTCAAAACTGCTGTACGAAAGGGAATGTTCAACTCTGTGACTTCAATGCACACATCACAAAGAAGTTTCTGAGGATGCTGCTGTCTACTTTTTATACGTAATCCCGTTTCCAACGAAATCCTCCAAGCTATCCAAATATCCACTTGCAGATTCCACAAAAAGACTGTTTCAAAACTGCTCTGTCAATAGAAAGGTTCAACTCTGTTAGCTGCGTGCATACATCCCAAAGAAGATTCTGAGATTGCTTCTGTCTACTTTTTATGAGAAGATATTTCCCTTTTCACCGTAGGCGTCAAGGCGCTCCAAATGTCCACTTCCAGATACTACAAAAAGAGTGTTTCAAACCTACTCTGTGAAAGGGAATATTCAACTGTGTGACTTGAATGCACATATCACAAAGAAGCTTCTGAGAATGCTTCTGTCGAGATTTTATATGAAGATATTCCCGTTTCCAACGAAATCCTGAAATGTATCCAAATATCCCCTCGCAGATTATACAAAAAGAGTGTTTCAAAACTGCTCTGTAAAAAGAAAGGTTCAACTCTGTTAGTTGAGTACACACATCACAAACAAGTTTCACACAATGCTTCTTTCTAGCTTGTAGGGGAAGATATTTCCTTTATCACCATGGTTCTCAAACCGTCCGAAACGTCCACTTCCATATACTAAAAAAAGAGTGTTTGAAACCTGCTCTATGAAAGGCAATGTTCAACTCTGTCACTTGAATGCAGACATCACAGAGCAGTTTCTGAGAATGCTTCTGTCTAGATTTTATAGGAAGATATTCCCGTTTCCAACGAAATCTTTACAGCTATCCAAATATCCACTTGCAGATTCTACAAAAAGAGTGTATCAAAACTGCTCTGTCAAAAGGAAGGTTCTTCTCTGTTAGGTGAGTGCATACGTCATAAAGGAGTTTCTGAGAATGTTTCTGTCTAGTGGTTATGGGAAGATATTTGCTTTTTCCCCGTAGGCCTCAGGGCGCTCCAAATGTCCACTTGCACATGCTACAAAAAGAGTGCTTCAAAGCTGCTCTCTGAAAGGGAATGTTCAACTCTATGAGTTGAATGCAAACATCACAAAAACGTTTCTGAGAATGCTTCTGTCTAGATTTGATATGAAGATATTCCCGTTTCCAACGAAATCTTCAAATCTATCCAAATGTCCACTTGCAGATTCAACAAAAAGTGTTTTTAAAACTGCTGTATCAAAAGAAAGATTCACGTCTGTTAGCTGAGTTCACACATCACAAACAAGTTTATGAGAATGCTTCTGTCTAGTTTTTATTTGAAGATATTTCCCTTCTCACCATAGACCTGCAAGCTGTCCTAATGTTCACTTCCAGATACTACAGAAAGAGTGTTTCAAAACTGCTGTACGAAAGGGAATGTTCAACTCTGTGACTTGAATGCACACATCACAAAGTAGTTTCTGAGGATGCTGCTGTGTACTTTTGATACGTAATCCCGTTTCCAACGAAATCCTCCAAGCTATCGAAATATCCACTTGCAGATTCCACAGAACGACTGTTTCAAAACTGCTCTGTCAATAGAAATGTTCAACTCTGTTAGCTGCGTGCATATATCCCAAAGAAGATTCTGAGATTGCTTTCTGTCTACTTTTTATGAGAAGATATTTCCCTTTTCACCGTAGGCGTCAAGGTGCTCAAAATGTCCACTTCCAGATACTACAGAAAGAGTGTTTCAAACCTACTCTGTGAAAGGGAATATTCAACTCTCTGACTTGAATGCACATATCACAAAGAAGTTTTCTGAGAATGCTTCTGTCGAGATTTTATATGAAGATATTCCCGTTTCCAACGAAATCCTGAAATGTATCCAAATATCCCCTCGCAGATTCTACAAAAAGAGTGTTTCAAAACTGCTCTGGAAAAAGAAAGGTTCAACTCTGTTAGTTGAGTACACACATCACAAACAAGTTTCACAGAATGCTTCTTTCTAGCTTGTAGGGGAAGATATTCCCTTTATCACCATGGGCCTCAAACCGTCTGAAACGTCCACTTCCATATACTACAAAAAGAGCGTTTCAAACCTGCTCTATGAAAGGCAATGTTCAACTCTGTGAGTTGAATGCAGACATCACAGAGCAGTTTCTGAGAATGCTTCTGTCTAGATTTTATAGGAAGATATTCCCGTTTCCAACGAAATCTTCACAGCTATCCAAATATCCACTTGCAGGTTCTACAAAAAGAGTGTATCAAAACTGCTCTGTCAAAAGGAAGGTTCTTTTCTGTTAGGTGAGTGCATACGTCATAAAGGAGTTTCTGAGAATGTTTCTGTTTAGTGGTTATGGGAAGATATTTGCTTTTTCACCTTAGGCCTCAGAGCGCTCCAAATATCCCCTTGCACATACTACAAAAAGAGTGCTTCAAAGCTGCTCTCTGAAAGGGAATGTTCAACTCTATGAGTTGAATGCAAACATGACCAAGACGTTTCCGAGAATGCTTCTGTCTAGATTTGATATGAAGATATTCCCGTTTCCAACGAAATCTTCAAATCTATCCAAATGTCCACTTGCAGATTCAACAAAAAGTGTTTTTCAGAACTGCTCTATCAAAAGAAAGATCCACCTCTGTTAGCTGAGTTCACACTTCACAAACAAGTTTATCAGAATGCTTCTGTCTAGTTTTTATTTGAAGATATTTCCTTTCTCACCATAGAGCTGAAAGCTGTCCTAATGTTCACTTCCAGATACTACAGAAAGAGTGTTTCAAAACTGCTGTACGAAAGGGAATGTTCAACTCTGTGACTTGAATGCACACATCACAGAGAAGTTTCTGAGGATGCTGCTGTCTACTTTTTATACCTAATCCCGTTTCCAAAGAAATCCTCCAATCTATCCAAATATCCACTTGCAGATTCCACAGAAAGACTGTTTCAAAACTGCTCTGTCAATAGAAAGGTTCAACTCTGTTAGCTGCGTGCATATATCCCAAAGAAGATTCTGAGATTGCTTCTGTCTAGTTTTTATGGGAAGATATTTCCCTTTTCACCGTAGGCGTCAAGGCGCTCTAAATGTCCACTTCCAGATACTACAAAAAGAGTGTTTCAAACCTACTCTGTGAAAGGGAATATTCAACTCTGTGACTTGAATGCACATATCACAAGGAAGTTTCTGAGAATGCTTCTGTCGAGATTTTATATGAAGATATTCCCGTTTCCAACGAAATCCTGAAATCTATCCAAATATCCCCTCGCAGATTCTACAAAAAGAGTGTTTCAAAACTGCTCTGTAAAAAGAAAGGTTCAACACTGTTAGTTGAGTACACACATCACAAACAAGTTTCACAGAGTGCTTCTTTCTAGCTTGTAGGGGAATATATTCCCTTTATCACCATGGGTCTCAAACCGTCCGAAACGTCCACCTCCATATACTACAAAAAGAGCGTTTCAAACCTGCTCTATGAAAGGCAATGTTCAACTCTGTGACTTGAATGCAGACATCACAGAGCTGTTTCTGAGAATGCTTCTGTCTAGATTTTATAGGAAGATATTCCCGTTTCCAACGAAATCTTCACAGCTATCCAAATATCCACTTGCAGATTCTACAAAAAGAGTGTATCAAAACTCCTCTGTCAAAAGAAGGTTCTTCTCTGTTAGGTGAGTGCATACGTCATAAAGGAGTTTCTGAGAATGTTTCTGTCTAGTGGTTATGGGAAGATATTTCCTTTTTCCCCGTAGGCCTCAGGGCGCTCCAAATGTCCACTTGCACATGCTACAAAAAGAGTGCTTCAAAGCTGCTCTCTGAAAGGGAATGTTCAACTCTATGAGTTGAATGCAAACATCACAAAGACGTTTCTGAGAATGCTTCTGTCTAGATTTGATATGAAGATATTCCCGTTTCCAATGAAATCTTCAAATCTATCCAAATGTCCACTTGCAGATTCAACAAAAAGTGTTTTTCAGAACTGCTCTATCAAAAGAAAGATCCACCTCTGTTAGCTGAGTTCAGACATCACAAACAAGTTTATGAGAATGCTTCTGTCTAGTTTTTATTTGAAGATATTTCCTTTCTCACCATAGAGCTGAAAGCTGTCCTAATGTTCACTTCCAGTTACTACAGAAAGAGTGTTTGAAAACTGCTGTACGAAAGGGAATGTTCAACTCTGTGACTTGAATGCACACATCACAAAGAAGTTTCTGAGGATGCTGCTGTCTACTTTTTATACGTAATCCCGTTTCCAACGAAATCCTCCAAGCTATCCAAATATCCACTTGCAGATTCCACAGAAAGACTGTTTCAAAACTGCTCTGTCAATAGAAAGGTTCAACTCTGTTAGCTGCGTGCATATAACCCAAAGAAGATTCTGAGATTGCTTCTGTCTAGTTTTTATGGGAAGATATTTCCCTTTTCACCGTAGGTGTCAATGTGCTCCAAATGTCCACTTCCAGACACTACAAAAAGAGTGTTTCAAACCTACTCTGTGAAAGGGAATATTCAACTCTGTGACTTGAATGCAGATAACACAAAGAAGTTTCTGAGAATGCTTCTGTCGAGATTTTATATGAAGATATTCCCGTTTCCAAGGAAATCCTGAAATGTATCCAAATATCCCCTCGCAGATTCTACAAAAAGAGTGTTTCAAAACTGCTCTGTAAAAAGAAAGGTTCAACTCTGTTAGTTGAGTACACACATCACAAACAAGTTTCACACAATGCTTCTTTCTAGCTTGTAGGGGAAGATATTCCCTTTATCACCATGGGCCTCAAACCGTCCGAAACGTCTACTTCCATATACTACAAAAAGAGCGTTTCAAACATACTCTATGAAAGGCAATGTTCAACTCTGTGACTTGAATGCAGACATCACAGAGCAGTTTCTGAGAATGCTTCTGTCTAGATTTTATAGGAAGATATTCCCGTTTCCAACGAAATCTTCACAGGTATCCAAATATCCACTTGCAGATTCTACAAAAAGAGTGTATCAAAACTGCTCTGTCAAAAGGAAGGTTCTTCTCTGTTAGGTGAGTGCATACCTCATAAAGGAGTTTCTGAGAATGTTTTCTGTCTAGTGGTTATGGGAAGATATTTGCTTTTTCACCGTAGGCCTCAGAGCGCTCCAAATATCTACTTGCACATACTACAAAAAGAGTGCCACAAAGCTGCTCTCTGAAAGGGAATGTTCAACTCTATGAGTTGAATGCAAACATCACAAAGACGTTTCTGAGAATGCTTCTGTCTAGATTTGATATGAAGATATTCCCGTTACCAACGAAATATTCAAATCTATCCAAATGTCCACTTGCAGATTCAACAAAAAGTGTTTTTCAGAACTGCTCTATCAAAAGAAAGATCCACCTCCTGTTAGCTGAGTTCACACATCACAAACAAGTTTATGAGAATGCTGCTGTCTAGTTTTTATTTGAAGATATTTCCTTTCTCACCATAGACCTGAAAGCTGTCCTAATGTTCACTTCCAGATACTACAGAAAGAGTGTTTCAAAACTGCTGTACGAAAGGGAATGTTCAACTCTGTGACTTGAATGCACACATCACAAAGAAGTTTCTGAGGATGCTGCTGTCTACTTTTTATACGTAATCCCGTTTCCAACGAAATCCTGCAAGCTATCCAAATATCCACTTGCAGATTCCACAGAAAGAATGTTTCAAAACTGCTCTGTCAATAGAAAGGTTCAACTCTGTTAGCTGCGTGCATATATCCCAAAGAAGATTCTGAGATTGCTTCTGTCTAGTTTTTATGGGAAGATATTTCCCTTTTCACCGTAGGCGTCAAGGCGCTTCAAATGTCCACTTCCAGATACTACAAAAAGAGTGTTTCAAACCTACTCTGTGAAAGGGAATATTCAACTACTGTGACTTGAATGCACATATCACAAAGAAGTTTCTGAGAATGCTTCTGTCGAGATTTTATATGAAGATATTCCCGTTTCCAAAGAAATCCTGAAATCTATCCAAATATCCCCTCGCAGATTCTACAAAAAGAGTGTTTCAAAACTGCTCTGTAAAAAGGAAGGTTCAACTCTGTTAGTTGAGTACACACATCACAAACAAGTTTCACAGAATGCTTCTTTCTAGCTTGTAGGGGAAGATATTCCCTTTATCACCATGGGCCTCAAACCGTCCGAAAAGACCACTTCCATATACTACAAAAAGAGCGTTTCAAACCTGCTCTATGAAAGGCAATGTTCAACTCTGTGACTTGAATGCAGACATCACAGAGCAGTTTCTGAGAATGCTTCTGTCTAGATTTTATAGGAAGATATTCCCGTTTCCAAAGAAATCTTCACAGCTATCCAAATATCCACTTGCAGATTCTACAAAAAGAGTGTATCAAAACTGCTCTGTCAAAAGGAAGGTTCTTCTCTGTTAGTTGAGTACATACGTCATAAAGGAGTTTCTGAGAATGTTTCTGTCTAGTGGTTATGGGAAGATATTTGCTTTTTCACCTTAGGCCTCAGAGAGCTCCAAATATCCCCTTGCACATACTACAAAAAGAGTGCTTCAAAGCTGCTCTTTGAAAGGGAATGTTCAACTCTATGAGTTGAATGCAAACATCACAAAGACGTTTCTGAGAATGCTTCTGTCTAGATTTGATATGAAGATATTCCCGTTTCCAACGAAATCTTCATATCTATCCAAATGTCCACTTGCAGATTCAACAAAAAGTGTTTTTCAAAACTGCTGTATCAAAAGAAAGATCCACGTCTGTTAGCTGATGCTCTATCAAAAGAATCTGTCTAGTTTTTATTTGAAGATATATCCTTTCTCACTATAGACCTGAAAGCTCTCCTAAAGTTCACTTCCCGATACTACAGAAAGAGTTTTTCAAAACTGCTGTACGAAAGGGAATGTTCAACTCTGTGACTTGAATGCACACGTCACAAGGAAGATTCTGAGGATGCTGCTGTCTACTTTTTATACGTAATCCCGTTTCCAAAGAAATCCCCCAAGCTATCCAAATATCCACTTGCAGATTCCACAGAAAGACTGTTTCAAAACTGCTCTGTCAATAGAAAGGTTCAACTCTATTAGCTGCGTGCATATATCCCAAAGAAGATTCTGAGATTGCTTCTGTCTAGTTTTTATGGGAAGATATTTCCGTTTTCACCGTAGACGTCAAGGCGCTCCAAATGTCCACTTCCAGATACTACAAAAAGAGTGTTTCAAACCTACTCTGTGAAAGGGAATATTCAACTCTGTGACTTGAATGCAGATATCACAAAGAAGTTTCTGAGAATGCTTCTGTCGAGATTTTATATGAAGATATTCCCGTTTCCAGCGAAATCCTGAAATGTATCCAAATATCCCCTCGCAGATTCTACAAAAAGAGTGTTTCAAAACTGCTCTGTAAAGAGAAAGGTTCAACTCTGTTAGTTGAGTGCACACATCACAAACAAGTTTCACAGAATGCTTCTTTCTAGCTCGTAGGGGAAGATATTCCCTTTATCACCATGGGCCTCAAACCGTCCGAATCGTCCACTTCCATATACTACAAAAAGAGCGTTTCAAACCTGCTCCATGAAAGGCAATGTTCAACTCTGTGACTTGAATGCAGACATCACAGAGCAGTTTCTGAGAATGCTTCTGTCTAGATTTTATAGGAAGATATTCCCGTTTCCAACGAAATCTTCACAGTTATCCAAATATCCACTTGCAGATTCTGCAAAAAGAGTGTATCAAAACTGCTCAGTCAAAAGGAAGGTTCTTCTCTGTTAGGTGAGTGCATACGTCATAACGGAGTTTCTGAGAATGTTTCTGTCTAGTGGTTATGGGAAGATATTTGCTTTTTCACCGTAGGCCTCAGAGCGCTCCAAATATCCACTTGCACATACTACAAAAAGAGTGCCTCAAAGCTGCTCTCTGAAACGGAATGTTCAACTCTATGAGTTGAATGCCAACATCACAAAGACGTTTCTGAGAATGCTTCTGTCTGGACTTGATATGAAGATATTCCCGTTTCCAACGAAATCTTCAAATCTATCCAAATGTCCACTTGCAGATTCAACAAAAAGTGTTTTTCAGAACTGCTCTATCAAAAGAAAGATCCACGGCTCTTAGCTGAGTTCACACATCACGAACAAGTTTATGAGAATGCTTCTGTCTAGTTTTTATTTGAAGATATTTCCTTTCTCACCATAGAGCTGAAAGCTGTCCTAATGTTCATTTCCAGATACTACAGAAAGAGTGTTTCAAAACTGCTGTACGAAAGGGAATGTTCAACTCTGTGACTTGAATGCACACATCACAAAGAAGTTTCTGAGGATGCTGCTGTCTACTTTTTATACGTAATCCCGTTTCCAACGAAATCCTCCAAGCTATCCAAATATCCACTTGCAGATTCCACAGAAAGACTGTTTCAAAACTGCTCTGTCAATAGAAAGGTTCAACTCTGTTAGCTGTGTGCATATATCCCAAAGAAGATTCTGAGATTGCTTCTGTCCAGTTTTTATGGGAAGATATTTCCCTTTTCACCGTAGGCGTCAAGGCGCTCCAAATGTCCACTTCCAGATACTACAAAAAGAGTGTTTCAAACCTACTCTGTGAAAGGGAATATTCAACTCTGTGACTTGAATGCAGATATCACAAAGAAGTTTCTGAGAATGCTTCTGTCGAGATTTTATATGAAGATATTCCCGTTTCCAACGAAATCCTGAAATCTATCTAAATATCCCCTCGCAGATTCTACAAAAAGAGTGTTTCAAAACTGCTCTGTAAAAAGAAAGGTTCAACTCTGTTAGTTGTGTACACACATCACAAACAAGTTTCACAGAATGCTTCTTTCTAGCTTGTAGGGGAAGATATTCCCTTTATCACCATGGGCCTCAAACCGTCCGAAACGTCTACTTCCATATACTACAAAAAGAGCGTTTCAAACCTGCTCTATGAAAGGCAATGTTCAACTCTGTGACTTGAATGCAGACATCACAGAGCAGTTTCTGAGAATGCTTCTGTCTAGATTTTATAGGAAGATATTCCCGTTTCCAATGAAATCTTCACAGCTATCCAAATATCCACTTGCAGATTCTACAAAAAGAGTGTATCAAAACTGCTCTGTCAAAAGGAAGGTTCTTCTCTGTTAGTTGAGTACATACGTCATAAAGGAGTTTCTGAGAATGTTTCAGTCTAGTGGTTATGGGAAGATATTTGCTTTTTCACTGCAGGCCTCACAGCGCTCCAAATATCCACTTGCACATACTACAAAAAGAGTGCTTCAAAGCTGCTCTCTGAAACGGAATGTTCAACTCTATGAGTTGAATGCAAACATCACAAAGACGTTTCCGAGAATGCTTCTGTCTAGATTTGATATGAAGATATTCCCGTTTCCAACGAAATCTTCAAATCTATCCAAATGTCCACTTGCAGATTCAACAAAAAGTGTTTTTCAGAACTGCTCTATCAAAAGAAAGATCCACCTCTGTTAGCTGAGTTCACACTTCACAAACAAGTTTATGAGAATGCTTCTGTCTAGTTTTTATTTGAAGATATATCCTTTCTCACTATAGACCTGAAAGCTCTCCTAAAGTTCACTTCCAGATACTACAGAAAGAGTGTTTCAAAACTGCTGTTCGAAAGGGAATGTTCAACTCTGTGACTTGAATGCACACATCACAAGGATGTTTCTGAGGATGCTGCTGTCTACTTTTTATACGTAATCCCATTTCCAACGAAATCCTCCAAGCTATCCAAATATCCACTTGCAGATTCCACAGAAAGACTGTTTCAAAACTGCTATGTCAATAGAAAAGTTCAACTCAGTTCGCTGTGTGCATATATCCCAAAGAAAATTCTGAGATTGCTTCTGTCTACTTTTTATGAGAAGATATTTCCCTTTTCACTGTAGGCGTCAAGGCGCTCCAAATGTCCACTTCCAGATACTACAAAAAGAGTGTTTCAAACCTACTCTGTGAAAGGGAATATTGAACTCTGTGACTTGAATGCACATATCACAAAGAAGCTTCTGAGAATGCTTTTGTCGAGATTTTATATGAAGATATTCCCGTTTCCAAAGAAATCCTGAAATCTATCCAAATATCCCCTCGCAGATTCTACAAAAAGAGTGTTTCAAAACTGCTCTGTAAAAAGAAAGGTTCAACTCTGTTAGTTGAGTACACACATCACAAACAAGTTTCACAGAATGCTTCTTTCTAGCTTGTAGGGGAAGATATTCCCTTTATCACCATGGGCCTCAAACCGTCCGAAACGTCCACTTCCATATACTACAAAAAGAGCGTTTCAAACCTGCTCTAGGAAAGGCAATGTTCAACCCTGTGACTTGAATGCAGACATCACAGAGCAGTTTCTGAGAATGCTTCTGTCTAGATTTTATAGGAAGATATTCCCGTTTCCAACAAAATCTTCACAGCTATCCAAATATCCACTTGCAGATTCTACAAAAAGAGTGTATCAAAACTGCTCTGTCAAAAGGAAGGTTCTTCTCTGTTAGGTGAGTGCATACCGTCATAAAGGAGTTTCTGAGAATGTTTCTGTCTAGTGGTTATGGGAAGATATTTTCTTTTTCACCGTAGGCCTCAGAGCGCTCCAAATATCCACTTGCACATACTACAAAAAGAGTGTTTCAAAGCTGCTCTCTGAAAGGGAATGTTCAACTCTATGAGTTGAATGCAAACATCACAAAGACGTTTCTGAGAATGCTTCTGTCTAGATTTGATATGAAGATATTCCCGTTTCCAACGAAATCTTCAAATCTATCCAAATGTCCACTTGCAGATTCAACAAAAAGTGTTTTTGAGAACTGCTCTATCAAAAGAAAGATCCACCTCTGTTAGCTGAGTTCACACATCACAAACAAGTTTATGAGAATGCTTCTGTCTAGTTTTTATTTGAAGATATATCCTTTCTCACTATAGACCTGAAAGCTGTCCTAATGTTCACTTCCAGATACTACAGAAAGAGTGTTTCAAAACTGCTGTACGAAAGGGAATGTTCAACTCTGTGACTTGAATGCACACATCACAAAGTAGT
Source organism: Homo sapiens (assembly GCF_000001405.40). NCBI lineage: Eukaryota > Metazoa > Chordata > Mammalia > Primates > Hominidae > Homo > Homo sapiens. The sequence goes on along the minus strand of NC_000021.9, from coordinate 12,080,012 downwards.
TTCTGAGGATGCTGCTGTCTACTTTTTATACGTAATCCCGTTTCCAAGGAAATCCTCCAAGCTATCCAAATATCCACTTGCAGATTCCACAGAAAGACTGTTTCAAAACTGCTCTGTCAATAGAAAGGTTCAACTCTGTTAGTTGCGTGCATATATCCCAAGGAAGATTCTGAGATTGCTTCTGTCTAGTTTTGATGGGAAGATACTTCCCTTTTCACCGTAGGTGTCAAGGCGCTCCAAATGTCCACTTCCAGATACTACAAAAAGAGTGTTTCAAACCTACTCTGTGAAAGGGAATATTCAACTCTGTGACTTGAATGCACATATCACAAAGAAGTTTCTGAGAATGCTTCTGTCGAGATTTTATATGAAGATATTCCCGTTTCCAACGAAATCCTGAAATCTATCCAAGTATCCCCTCGCAGATTCTACAAAAAGAGTGTTTCAAAACTGCTCTGTGAAAAGAAAGGTTCAACTCTGTTAGTTGAGTACACACATCACAAACAAGTTTCACACAATGCTTTCTTTCTAGCTTGCAGGGGAAGATATTCCCTTTATCACCATGGGCCTCAAACCGTCTGAAACGTCCACTTCCATATACTACAAAAAGAGCATTTCAAACCTGCTCTATGAAAGGCAATGTTCAACTCTGTGACTTGAATGCAGACATCACAGAGCAGTTTCTGAGAATGCTTCTGTCTAGATTTTATAGGAAGATATTCCCGTTTCCAATGAAATCTTCACAGCTATCCAAATATCCACTTGCAGATTCTACAAAAAGAGTGTATCAAAACTGCTCTGTCAAAAGGAAGGTTCGTTTCTGTTAGGTGAGTGCATACGTCATAAAGGAGTTTCTGAGAATGTTTCAGTCTAGTGGTTATGGGAAGATATTTGCTTTTTCCCCGTAGGACTCAGAGCGCTCCAAATATCCACTTGCACATACTACAAAAAGAGTGCTTCAAAGCTGCTCTCTGAAACGGAATGTTCAACTCTATGAGTTGAATGCAAACATCACAAAGACGTTTCTGAGAATGCTTCTGTCTAGATTTGATATGAAGATATTCCCGTTTCCAACGAAATCTTCAAATCTATCCAAATGTCCACTTGCAGATTCAACAAAACGTGTTTTTCAGAACTGCTCTATCAAAAGAAAGATCCACGTCTCTTAGCTGAGTTCACACATCACAAACAAGTTTATGAGAATGTTTCTGTCTAGTTTTTATTTGAAGATATTTCCTTTCTCACCATAGAGCTGAAAGCTGTCCTAACGTTGACTTCCAGATACTACAGAAAGAGTGTTTCAAAACTGCTGTACGAAAGGGAATGTTCAACTCTGTGACTTGAATGCTCACATCACAAAGAAGTTTCTGAGGATGCTGCTGTCTACTTTTTATACGTAATTCCGTTTCCAACGAAATCCTCCAAGCTATCCAAATATCCACTTGCAGATTCCACAGAAAGACTGTTTCAAAACTGCTCTGTCAATAGAAAGGTTCAACTCTGTTAGCTGCGTGCATATATCCCAAAGAAGATTCTGAGATTGCTTCTGTCTAGTTTTTATGGGAAGATATTTCCCTTTTCACCGTAGGTGTCAAGGCGCTCCAAATGTCCACTTCCAGATACTACAAAAAGAGTGTTTCAAACCTACTCTGTGAAAGGGAATATTCAACTCTGTGAATTGAATGCACATATCACAAAGAAGTTTCTGAGAAAGCTTCTGTCGAGATTTTATATGAATATATTCCCGTTTCCAACGAAATGCTGAAATGTATCCAAATATCCCCTCGCAGATTCTACAAAAAGAGTGTTTCAAAACTGCTCTGTAAAAAGAAAGGTTCAACTCTGTTAGTTGAGTACACACATCACAAACAAGTTTCACAGAATGCTTCTTTCTAGCTTGTAGGGGAAGATAATCCCTTTATCACCATGGGCCTCCAACCGTCCGAAACATCCACTTCCATATACTACAAAAAGAGCGTTTCAAACCTGCTCTATGAAAGGCAATGTTCAACTCTGTGACTTGAATGCAGACATCACAGAGCAGTTTCTGAGAATGCTTCTGTCTAGCATTTTATAGGAAGATATTCCCGTTTCCAGCGAAATCTTCACAGCTATCCAAATATCCACTTGCAGATTCTACAAAAAGAGTGTATCAAAACTGCTCTGTCAAATGGAAGGTTCTTCTCTGTTAGGTGAGTGCATACGTCATAAAGGAGTTTCTGAGAATGTTTCTGTCTAGTGGTTATGGGAAGATATTTGCTTTTTCACCGAAGGCCTCAGAGCGCTCCAAATATCCACTTGCACATACTACAAAAAGAGTGCTTCAAAGCTGCTCTCTGAAAGGGAATGTTCAACTCTATGAGTTGAATGCAAACATCACAAAGACGTTTCTGACAATGCTTCTGTCTAGATTTGATATGAAGATATTCCCGTTTCCAACGAAATCTTCAAATCTATCCAAATGTCCACTTGCAGATTCAACAAAAAGTGTTTTTCAGATCTGCTCTATCAAAAGAAAGATCCACCTCTGTTAGCTGAGTTCACACATCAGAAACAAGTTTATGAGAATGCTTCTGTCTAGTTTTTATTTGAAGATATTTCCTTTCTCACCATAGACCTGAAAGCTGTCCTAATGTTCACTTAAAGATGCTACAGAAAGAGTGTTTCAAAACTGCTGTACGAAAGGGAATGTTCAACTCTGTGACTTGAATGCACACATCACAAAGAAGTTTCTGAGGATGCTGCTGTCTACTTTTTATACGTAATCCCGTTTCCAATGAAATCCTCCAAGCTATCCAAATATCCACTTGCAGATTCCACAGAAAGACTGTTTCAAAACTGCTCTGTCAATAGAAAGGTTCAACTCTGTTAGCTGCGTGCATATATCCCAAAGAAGATTCTGAGATTGCTTCTGTCTAGTTTTTATGGGAAGATATTTCCCTTTTCACCGTAGGTGTCAAGGCGCTCCAGATGTCCACTTCCAGATACTACAAAAAGAGTGTTTCAAACCTACTCTGTGAAAGGGAATATTCAACTCTGTGACTTGAATGCACATATCACAAAGAAGTTTCTGAGAATGCTTCTGTCGAGATTTTATATGAAGATATTCCCGTTTCCAACGAAATCCTGAAATGTATCCAAATATCCCCTCACAGATTCTACAAAAAGAGTGTTTCAAAACTGCTCTGTAAAAAGAAAGGTTCAACTCTGTTAGTTGAGTGCACACATCACAAACAAGTTTCACAGAATGCTTCTTTCTAGCTTGTAGGGGAATATATTCCCTTTATCACCCTGGGCCTCAAACCGTCTGAAACGTCCACTTCCATATACTTCAAAAAGAGCGTTTCAAACCTGCTCTATGATAGGCAATGTTCAACTCTGTGACTTGAATGCAGACATCACAGAGCTGTTTCTGAGAATGCCTCTGTCTAGATTTTATAGGAAGAAATTCCCGTTTCCAACGAAATCTTCACAGCTATCCAAATATCCACTTGCAGATTCTACAAAAAGAGTGTATCAAAACTGCTCTGTCAAAAGGAAGGTTCTTCTCTGTTAGGTGAGTGCATACGTCATAAAGGAGTTTCTGAGAATGTTTCTGTCTAGTGGTTATGGGAAGATATTTGCTTTTTCACCGTAGGCCTCACAGCGCTCCAAATATCCACTTGCACATACTACAAAAAGAGTGCTTCAAAGCTGCTCTCTGAAACGGAATGTTCAACTCTATGAGTTGAATGCAAACATCACAAAGAGGTTTCTGAGAATGCTTCTGTCTAGATTTGATATGAAGATATTCCCGTTTCCAACGAAATCTTCAAATCTATCCAAATGTCCACTTGCAGATTCCACAAAAAGTGTTTTTCAGAACTGCTCTATCAAAAGAAAGATCCACCTCTGTTAGATGAGTTCACACATCACAAACAAGTTTATGAGAATGCTTCTGTCTAGTTTTTATTTGAAGATATACCCTTTCTCACTATAGACCTCAAAGCTCTCCTAATGTTCACTTCCAGATACTACAGAAAGAGTGTTTCAAAACTGCTGTACGAAAGGGAATGTTCAACTGTGTGTCTTGAATGCACACATCACAAGGAAGTTTCTGAGGATGCTGCTGTCTACTTTTTATACTGTAATCCCGTTTCCAACGAAATCCTCCAAGCTATCCAAATATCCACTTGCAGATTCCACAGAAAGACTGTTTCAAAACTGCTCTGTCAATAGAAAGGTTCAACTCTGTTAGCTGCGTGCATATATCCCAAAGAAGATTCTGAGATTGCTTCTGTCTAGTTTTTATGAGAAGATATTTCCCTTTTCACCGTAGGCGTCAAAGCGCTCCAAATGTCCACTTCCAGATACTACAAAAAGAGTGTTTCAAACCTACTCTGTGAAAGGGAATATTCAACTCTGTGACTTGAATGCACATATCACAATGAAGTTTCTGAGAATGCTTCTGTCGAGATTTTATATGAAGATATTCCCGTTTCCAACGAAATCCTGAAATCTATCCAAATATCCCCTCGCAGATTCTACAACAAGAGTGTTTCAAAACTGTTCTGTAAAAAGAAAGGTTTAACTCTGTTAGTTGAGTACACACATCACAAACAAGTTTCACAGAATGCTTCTTTCTAGCTTGTAGCGGAAGATATTCCCTTTATCACCATGGGCCTCAAACCGTCTGAAACGTCCACTTCCATATACTACAAAAAGAGCATTTCAAACCTGCTGTATGAAAGGCAATGTTCAACTCTGTGACTTGAATGCAGACATCACAGAGCAGTTTCTGAGAATGCTTCTGTCCAGACTTTATAGGAAGATATTCCCGATTCCAACGAAATCTTTACAGCTATCCAAATATCCACTTGCAGATACTACAAAAAGAGTGTATCAAAAAAGCTCTGTCAAAAGGAAAGTTCTTTTCTGCTAGTTGAGTACATACGTCATAAAGAAGTTTCTGAGAATGTTTCTGTCTAGTGGTTATGGGAAGATATTTGCTTTTTCACCATAGGCCTCAGAGCGCTCAAAATGTCCACTTGCACATGCTACAAAAAGATTGCTTCAAAGCTGCTCTCTGAAAGGGAATGTTCAACCCTATCAGTTGAATGCAAACATCACAAAGACGTTTCTGAGAATGCTTCTGTCTAGATTTGATATGAAGATATTCCCGTTTCCAACGAAATCTTCAAATCTATCCAAATGTCCACTTGCAGATTCAACAAAGTGTTTTTCAAAACTGCTGTATCAAAAGAAAGATCCACCTCTGTTAGCTGAGTTCACACTTCACAAACAAGTTTATCAGAATTCTTCTGTCTGGTTTTTATTTGAAGATATTTCCTTTCTCACCATAGACCTGAAAGCTGTCCTAATGTTCACTCCCAGATAATACAGAAAGAGTGTTTCAAAACTGCTGTACGAAAGGGAATGTTCAACTCTGTGACTTGAATGCACACATCACAAAGAAGTTTCTGAGGATGCTGCTGTCTACTTTTTATACGTAATCCCGTTTCCAACGAAATCCTCCAAGCTATCCAAATATCCACTTGCAGATTCCACAGAAAGACTGTTTCAAAACTGCTCTGTCAATAGAAAGGTTGAACTCTGTTAGCTGCGTGCATATATCCCAAAGATGATTCTGAGATTGCTTCTGTCTAGTTTTTATGGGAAGATATTTCCCTTTTCACCGTAGGCGTCAAGGCGCTCCAAATGTCCACTTCCAGATACTACAAAAGGAGTGTTTCAAACCTACTCTGTGAAAGGGAATATTCAACTCTGTGACTTGAATGCAGATATCACAAAGAAGTTTCTGAGAATGCTTCTGTCGAGATTTTATATGAAGATATTCCCGTTTCCAACGAAATCCTGAAATCTATCCAAATATCCCCTCACAGATTCTACAAAAAGAGTGTTTCAAAACTGCTCTGTAAAAAGAAAGGTTCAACTCTGTTAGTTGAGTACACACATCACAAACAAGTTTCACAGAATGCTTCTTTCTAGCTTGTAGGGGAAGATATTTCCTTTATCACCATGGTACTCAAACCGTCCGAAACGTCCACTTCCATATACTAAAAAAGGAGTGTTTGAAACCTGCTCTATGAAAGGCAATGTTCAACTCTGTGACTTGAATGCAGACATCACAGAGCAGTTTCTGAGAATGCTTCTGTCTAGATTTTATAGGAAGATATTCCCGTTTCCAACGAAATCTTCACAGCTATCCAAATATCCACTTGCAGATTCTACAAAAAGAGTGTATCAAAACTGCTCTGTCAAAAGGAAGGTTCTTCTCTGTTAGGTGAGTGCATACGTCATAAAGGATTTTCTGAGAATGTTTCTGTCTAGTGGTTATGGGAAGATATTTGCTTTTTCACCGTAGGCCTCAGAAGCGCTCCAAATATCCACTTGCACATACTACAAAAAGAGTGCTTCAAAGCTGGTCTCTGAAACGGAATGTTCAACTCTATGAGTTGAATGCAAACATCACAAAGACGTTTCTGAGAATGCTTCTGTCTAGATTTGATATGAAGATATACCCGTTTCCAACGAAATCTTCAAATCTATCCAAATGTCCACTTGCAGATTCAACAAAGTGTTTCTCAAAACTGCTGTATCAAAAGAAAGATCCACGTCTGTTAGCTGAGTTCACACATCACAAAGAAGTTTATGAGAATGCTTCTGTCTAGTTTTTATTTGAAGATATTTCCTTTCTCACCATAGACCTGAAAGCTGTCCTAATGTTCACTTCCAGATACTATAGAAAGAGTGTTTCAAAACTGCTGTACGAAAGGGAATGTTCAACTCTGTGACTTGAATGCACACATCACAAAGAAGTTTCTGAGGATGATGCTGTCTAATTTTTATACGTAATCCCGTTTCCAACGAAATCCTCAAAGCTATCCAAATATCCACTTGCAGATTCCACAGAAAGACTGTTTCAAAACTGCTCTGTCAATAGAAAGGTTCAACTCTGTTAGCTGCGTGCATATATCCCAAAGAAGATTCTGAGATTGCTTCTGTCTAGTTTTTATGGGAAGATATTTCCCTTTTCACCGTAGGCGTCAAGGCGCTCCAAATGTCCACTTCCAGATACTACAAAAAGAGTGTTTCAAACCTACTCTGTGAAAGGGAATATTCAACTCTGTGACTTAAAGGCAGATATCACAAAGAAGTTTCTGAGAATGCTTCTGTCGAGATTTTATATGAAGATATTCCCGTTTCCAACGAAATCCTGAAATCTATCCAAATATCCCCTCGCAGATTCTACAAAAGGAGTGTTTCAAAACTGCTCTGTAAAAAGAAAGGTTCAACTCTGTTAGTTGAGTACACACATCACAAACAAGTTTCACAGAATGCTTCTTTCTAGCTTGTAGGGGAAGATATTCCCTTTATCACCATGGGCCTCAAACCGTCCGAAACGTCCACTTCCATATACTACAAAAAGAGCGTTCCAAACCTGCTCTATGAAAGGCAATGTTCAACTCTGTGACTTGAATGCAGACATCACAGAGCAGTTTCTGAGAATGCTTCTGTCTAGATTTTATAGGAAGATATTCCCGTTTCCAACGAAATCTTCACAGCTATCCAAATATCCACTTGCAGATTCTACAAAAAGAGTGTATCAAAACTGCTCCGTCAAAAGGAAGGTTCTTCTCTGTTAGGTGAGTGCATACGTCATAAAGGAGTTTCTGAGAATGTTTCTGTCTAGTGGTTATGGGAAGATATTTGCTTTTTCACCGTAGGCCTCAGAGCCCTCCAAATATCCACTTGCACATACTACAAAGAGAGTGCTTCAAACCTGCTCTCTGAAACGGAATGTTCAACTCTATGAGTTGAATGCAAACATCACAAAGACGTTTCTGAGAATGCTTCTGTCTAGATTTGATATATAGATATTCCCGTTTCCAACGAAATCTTCAAATCTATCCAAATGTCCACTTGCAGATTCAACAAAAAGTGTTTTTCAGAACTGCTCTATCAAAAGAAAGATCCACCTCTGTTAGCTGAGTTCACACATCACAAACAAGTTTATGAGAATGCTTCTGTCTAGTTTTTATTTGAAGATATTTCCTTTCTCACCATAGACCTGAAAGCTGTCCTAATGTTCACTTCCAGATACTACAGAAAGAGTGTTTCAAAACTGCTGTACGAAAGGGAATGTTCAACACTGTGACTTGAATGCACACATCACAAAGAAGTTTCTGAGGATGCTGCTGTCTACTTTTTATACGTAATCCCGTTTCCAACGAAATCCTCCAAGCTATCCAAATATCCACGTGCAGATTCCACAGAAAGACTGTTTCAAAACTGCTCTGTCAATAGAAAGGTTCAACTCTGTTAGCTGCGTGCATATATCCCAAAGAAGATTCTGAGATTCCTTCTGTCTAGTTTTTATGGGAAGATATTTCCCTTTTCACCGTAGGTGTCAAGGCGCTCCAAATGTCCACTTCCAGATACTACAAAAAGAGTGTTTCAAACCTACTCTGTGAAAGGGAATATTCAACTCTGTGACTTAAAGGCAGATATCACAAAGAAGTTTCTGAGAATGCTTCTGTCGAGATTTTATATGAAGATATTCCCCTTTCCAACGAAATCCTGAAATCTATCCAAATATCCCCTCGCAGATTCTACAAAAAGAGTGTTTCAAAACTGCTCTGTGAAAAGAAAGGTTCAACTCTGTTAGTTGAGTACACACATCACAAACAAGTTTCACAGAATGCTTCTTTCTAGCTTGTAGGGGAAGATATTCCCTTTATCACCATGGTCCTCAAACCGTCCGAAACGTCCACTTTCATATACTACAAAAAGAGCGTTTCAAACCTGCTCTAGGAAAGGCAATGTTCAACTCTGTGACTTGAATGCAGACATCACAGAGCAGTTTCTGAGAATGCTTCTGTCTAGATTTTATAGGAAGATATTCCCGTTTCCAACGAAATCTTCACAGCTATCCAAATATCCACTTGCAAATTCTACAAAAAGAGTGTATCAAAACTGCTCTGTCAAAAGGAAGGTTCTTCTCTGTTAGGTGAGTGCACACGTCATACAGGAGTTTCTGAGAATGTTTCTGTCTAGTGGTTATGGGAAGATATTTGCTTTTTCCCCGTATGCCTCAGGGCGCTCCAAATGTCCACTTGCAAATGCTACAAAAAGAGTGCTTCAAAGCTGCTCTCTGAAAGGGAATGTTCAACTCTATGAGTTGAATGCAAACATCACAAAGACGTTTCTGAGAATGCTTCTGTCTAGATTTGATATGACGATATTCCCGTTTCCAACGAAATCTTCAAATCTATCCAAATGTCCACTTGCAGATTCAACAAAACGTGTTTTTCAGAACTGCTCTATCAAAAGAAAGATCCACCTCTGTTAGCTGAGTTCACACATCACAAACAAGTTTATGAGAATGCTTCTGTCTAGTTTTTATTTGAAGATATTTCCTTTCTCACCATAGAGCTGAAAGCTGTTCTAATGTTCACTTCCAGATACTACAGAAAGAGTGTTTCAAAACTGCTGTACGAAAGGGAATGTTCAACTCTGTGACTTGAATGCACACATCACAAAGAAGTTTCTGAGGATGCTGCTGTCTACTTTTTATACGTAATCCTGTTTCCAACGAAATCCTCCAAGCTATCCAAATATCCACTTGCAGATTCCCCAGAAAGACTGTTTCAAAACTGCTCTGTCAATAGAAAGGTTCAACTCTGTTAGCTGCGTGCATATATCCCAAAGAAGATTCTGAGATTGCTTCTGTCTAGTTTTTATGGGAAGATATTTCCCTTTTCACCGTAGGTGTCGAGGCGCTCCAAATGTCCACTTCCAGATACTACAAAAAGAGTGTTTCAAACCTACTCTGTGAAAGGGAATATTCAACTCTGTGACTTGAAGGCAGATATCACAAAGAAGTTTCTGAGAATGCTTCTGTCGAGATTTTATATGAAGATATTCCCGTTTCCAACGAAATCCTGAAGTCTCTCCAAATATCCCCTCGCAGATTCTACAAAAAGAGTGTTTCAAAACTGCTCTGTAAAAAGAAAGGTTCAACTCTGTTAGTTGAGTACACACATCACAAACAAGTTTCACAGAATGCTTCTTTCTAGCTTGTAGGGGAAGATATTCCCTTTATCACCATGGGCCTCAAACCGTCCGAAAAGTCCACTTCCATATACTACAAAAAGAGCGTTTCAAACCTGCTCTAGGAAAGGCAATGTTCAACTCTGTGACTTGAATGCAGACATCACAGAGCAGTTTCTGAGAATGCTTCTGTCTAGATTTTATAGGAAGATATTCCCGTTTCCAACGAAATCTTCACAGCTATCCAAATATCCACTTGCAGATTCTACAAAAAGAGTGTATCAAAACTGCTCTGTCAATAGGAACGTTCTTCTCTGTTAGTTGAGTACAAACGTCATAAAGGAGTTTCTGAGAATGTTTCAGTCTAGTGGTTATGGTTAGACATTTTCTTTAACCCCGTAGGCCTCAGAGCGCTCCAAATATCCACTTGCACATACTACAAAAAGAGTGCTTCAAAGCTGTTCTCTGAAACGGAATGTTCAACTCTATGAGTTGAATGCAAACATCACAAAGACGTTTCTGAGAATGCTTCTGTCTAGATTTCATATGAAGATATTCCTCTTTCCAACGAAATCTTCAAATCTATTCAAATGTCCACTTGCAGATTCAACAAAAAGTGTTTTTCGAAACTGCTGTTTCGAAAGAAAGATCCACCTCTGTTAGCTGAGTTCACACTTCACAAACAAGTTTATCAGAATGCTTCCGTCTAGTTTTTATTTGAAGATATATCCTTTCTCACTATAGACCTGAAAGCTGTCCTAAAGTTCACTTCCAGATACTACAGAAAGAGTGTTTCAAAACTGCTGTACGAAAGGGAATGTTCAACTCTGTGACTTGAATGCACACATCACAAAGAAGTTTCTGAGGATGCTGCTGTCTACTTTTTATACGTAATCCCATTTCCAAAGAAATCCTCCAAGCTATCCAAATATCCACTTGCAGATTCCACAGAAAGACTGTTTCAAAACTGCTCTGTCAATAGAAAGGTTCAACTGCTGTTAGTTGCGTGCATATATCCCAAAGAAGATTCTGAGATTGCTTCTGTCTAGTTTTTATGGGAAGATATTTCCCTTTTCACCGTAGGTGTCAAGGCGTTCAAAATGTCCACTTCCAGATACTACAAAAAGAGTGTTTCAAACCTACTCTGTGAAAGGGAATATTCAACTCTGTGACTTGAATGCACATATCACAAAGAAGTTTCTGAGAATGCTTCTGTCGAGATTTTATATGAAGATATTCCCGTTTCCAACGAAATCCTGAAATGTATCCAAATATCCCCTCGCAGATTCTACAAAAAGAGTGTTTCAAAACTGCTCTGTAAAAAGAAACGTTCAACTCTGTTAGTTGAGTACACACATCACAAACAAGTTTCACAGAATGCTTCTTTCTAGCTTGTAGGGTAACATATTCCCTTTATCACCATGGGCCTCAAACCGTCCGAAACGTCTACTACCATATACTACAAAAAGAGAGTTTCAAACCTGCTCTATGAAAGGCAATGTTCAACTCTGTGACTTGAATGCAGACATCACAGAGCAGTTTCTGAGAATGCTTCTGTCTAGATTTTATAGGAAGATATTCCCGTTTCCAACGAAATCTTCACAGCTATCCAAATATCCACTTGCAGATTCTACAAAAAGAGTGTATCAAAACTGCTCTGTCAAAAGGAAGGTTCTTCTCTGTTAGGTGAGTGCATACGTCATAAAGGAGTTTCTGAGCAATGTTTCTGTCTAGTGGTTATGGGAAGATATTTGCTTTTTCACCTTAGGCCTCAGAGCGCTCCAAATATCCCCTTGCACATACTACAAAAAGAGTGCTTCAAAGCTGTTCTCTGAAAGGGAATGTTCAACTCTATGAGTTGAATGCAAACATCACAAAGACGTTTCCGAGAATCCTTTCTGTCTAGATTTGATATGAAGATATTCCCGTTTCCAACGAAACCTTCAAAACTATCCAAATGTCCACTTGCAGATTCAACAAAAAGTGTTTTTCAGAACTGCTCTATCAAAAGAAAGATCCACCGCTGTTTGCTGAGTTCACACATCACAAACAAGTTTATGAGAATGCTTCTGTCTAGTTTTTATTTGAAGATATTCCCTTTCTCACCATAGACCTGAAAGCTATCCTAATGTTCACTTCCAGATACTACAGAAAGAGTGTTTCAAAACTGCTGTACGAAAGGGAATGTTCAACTCTGTGACTTGAATGCACACATCACAAAGAAGTTTCTGAGGATGCTGCTGTCTACTTTTTATACGTAATCCCGTTTCCAACGAAATCCTCCAAGCTATCCAAATATCCACTTGCAGATTCCACAGAAAGACTGTTTCAAATCTGCTCAGTCAATAGAAAGGTTCAACTCTGTTAGCTGCGTGCATATATCACAAAGAAGATTCTGAGATTGCTTCTGTCTAGTTTTTATGGGAAGATATTTCCCTTTTCACCGTAGGCGTCAAGGCGCTCCAAATGTCCACTTCCAGATACTACAAAAAGAGTGTTTCAAACCTACTCTGTGAAAGGGAATATTCAACTCTGTGACTCGAATGCACATATCACAAAGAAGTTTCTGAGAATGCTTCTGTCGAGATTTTATATGAAGATATTCCCGTTTCCAACGAAATCCTGAAATGTATCCAAATATCCCCTCGCAGATTCTAAAAAAAGAGTGTTTCAAAACTGCTCTGTAAAAAGAAAGGTTCAACTCTGTTAGTTGAGTACACACATCACAAACAAGTTTCACACAATGCTTCTTTCTAGCTTGTAGGGGAAGATATTCCCTTTATCACCATGGGCCTCAAACCGTCCGAAACGTTTACTTCCATATACTACAAAAAGAGCGTTTCAAACCTGCTCTAGGAAAGGCAATGTTCAACTCTGTGACTTGAATGCAGACATCACAGAGCAGTTTCTGAGAATGCTTCTGTCTAGATTTTATAGGAAGATATTCCCGTTTCCAACGAAATCTTCACAGCTATCCAAATATCCACTTGCAGATTCTACAAAAAGAGTGTATCAAAACTGCTCTGTCAAAAGGAAGGTTCTTCTCTGTTAGGTGAGTGCATACGTCATAAAGGAGTTTCTGAGAATCTTTCTGTCTAGTGGTTATGGGAAGATATTTGCTTTTTCACCGTAGGCCTCAGAGCGCTCCAAATATCCACTTGCACATACTACAAAAAGAGTGCTTCAAAGCTGCTCTCTGAAACGGAATGTTCAACTCTATGAGTTGAATGCAAACATCACAAAGACGTTTCCGAGAATGCTTCTGTCTAGATTTGATATGAAGATATTCCCGTTCCCAACGAAATCTTCAAATCTATCCAAATGTCCACTTGCAGATTCAACAAAAAGTTTTTTTCAGAACTGCTCTATCAAAAGAAAGATCCACCTCGGTTAGCTGAGTTCACACATCACAAAGAAGTTTATGAGAATGCTTTCTGTCTAGTTTTTATTTGAAGATATTTCCTTTCTCAACATAGACCTGAAAGCTCTCCTAATGTTCACTTCCAGATACTACAGAAAGAGTGTTTCAAAACTGCTGTACGAAAGGGAATGTTCAACTCTGTGACTTGAATGCACACATCACAAAGAAGTTTCTGAGGATGCTGCTGTCTACTTTTTATACATAATCCCGTTTCCAACGAAATCCTCCAAGCTATCCAAATATCCACTTGCAGATTCCACAGAAAGACTGTTTCAAAACTGCTCTGTCAATAGAAAGGTTCAACTCTGTTAGCTGCGTGCATATATCACAAAGAAGATTCTGAGATTGCTTCTGTCTAGTTTTTATGGGAAGATATTTCCCTTTTCACGCGGTAGGAGTCAAGGCGCTCCAAATGTCCACTTCCAGATACTACAAAAAGAGTGTTTCAAACCTACTCTGTGAACGGGAATATTCAACTCTGTGACTTGAATGCACATATCACAAAGAAGTTTCTGAGAATGCTTCTGTCGAGATTTTGTATGAAGATATTCCCGTTTCCAACGAAATCCTGAAATCTATCCAAATTTCCCTTCGCAGATTCTACAAAAAGAGTGTTTCAAAACTGCTCTGTAAAAAGAAAGGTTCAACTCTGTTAGTTGAGTACACACATCACAAACAAGTTTCACAGAATGCTTCTTTCTAGCTTGTAGGGGAAGATATTCCCTTTATCACCATGGGCCTCCAACCGTCCGAAACATCCACTTCCATATAATACAAAAAGAGCGTTTCAAACCTGCTCTATGAAAGGCAATGTTCAACTCTGTGACTTGAATGCAGACATCACAGAGCAGTTTCTGAGAATGCTTCTGTCCAGACTTTATAGGGAGATATTCCCGTTTCCAACGAAATCTTCACAGCTATCCAAATATCCACTTGCAGATAGTACAAAAAGAGTGTATCAAAAATGCTCTGTCAAAAGGAAAGTTCTTCTCTGCTAGTTGAGTACATACGTCATAAAGAAGTTTCTGAGAATGTTTCTGTCTAGTGGTTATGGGAAGATATTTGCTTTTTCACCGTAGGCCTCAGAGCGCTCCAAATATCCACTTGCACATACTACAAAAAGAGTGCTTCAAAGCTGGTCTCTGAAACGGAATGTTCAACTCTATGAGTTGAATGCAAACATCACAAAGACATTTCTGAGAATGCTTCTGTCTAGATTTGATATGAAGATATTCCCGTTTCCAACGAAGTCTTCAAATCTATCCAAATGTCCACTTGCAGATTCAACCAAAAGTGTTTTTCAGAACTGCTCTATCAAAAGAAAGATCCACCTCTGTTAGCTGAGTTCAGACATCACAAACAAGTTTATGAGAATGCTTCTGTCTAGTTTTTATTTGAAGATATTTCCTTTCTCACCATAGACCTGAAAGCTGTCCTAATGTTCACTTCCAGATACTACAGAAAGAGTGTTTCAAAACTGCTGTACGAAAGGGAATGTTCAACTCTGGGACTTGAATGCACACATCACAAAGAAGTTTCTGAGGATGCTGCTGTCTACTTTTTATACATAATCCCGTTTCCAACGAAATCCTCCAAGCTATCCAAATATCCATTTGCAGATTCCACAGAAAGACTGTTTCAAAACTGCTCTGTCAATAGAAAGGTTCAACTCTGTTAGCTGCGTGCATATATCCCAAAGAAGATTCTGAGATTGCTTCTGTCTAGTTTTTATGGGAAGATATTTCCCTTTTCACCGTAGGCGTCAAGGCGCTCCAAATGTCCACTTCCAGATACTACAAAGAGTGTTTCAAACCTACTCTGTGAAAGGGAATATTCAACTCTGTGACTTGAATGCAGATATCACAAAGAAGTTTCTGAGAATGCTTCTGTCGAGATTTTATATGAAGATATTCCCGTTTCCAACGAAATCCTGAAATCTATCCAAATTTCCCCTCGCAGATTCTACAAAAAGAGTGTTTCAAAACTGCTCTGTAAAAAGAAAGGTTCAACTCTGTTAGTTGAGTACACACATCACAAACAAGTTTCACACAATGCTTCTTTCTAGCTTGTAGGGGAAGATATTCCCTTTATCACCATGGGCCTCAAACAGGCCGAAACGTCCACTTCCATATACTACAAAAAGAGCGTTTCAAACCTGTTCTAGGAAAGGCAATGTTCAACTCTGTGACTTGAATGCAGACATCACAGAGCAGTTTCTGAGAATGCTTCTGTCCAGACTTTATAGGAAGATATTCCCGTTTCCAACGAAATCTTCACAGCTATCCAAATATCCACCTGCAGATACTACAAAAAGAGTGTATCAAAAATGCTCTCTCAAAAGGAAAGTTCTTCTCTGCTAGTTGAGTACATACGTCATAAAGAAGTTTCTGAGAATGTTTCTGTTTAGTGGTTATGGGAAGATATTTGCTTTTTCACCTTAGGCCTCAGAGCGCTCCAAATATCCCCTTGCACATACTACAAAAAGAGTGCTTCAAAGCTGCTCTCTGAAACGGAATGTTCAACTCTATGAGTTGAATGCAAACATCACAAAGACGTTTCCGAGAATGCTTCTGTCTAGATTTGATATGAAGATATTCCCGTTTCCAACGAAATCTTCAAATCTATCCAAATGTCCACTTGCAGATTCAACAAAAAGTGTTTTTCAGAACTGCTCTATCAAAAGAAAGATCCACGTGTGTTAGCTGAGTTCACACATTACGAACAAGTTTATGAGAATGCTTCTGTCTAGTTTTTATTTGAAGATATTTCCTTTCTCACCATAGACCTGAAAGCTGTCCTAATGTTCACTTCCAGATACTACAGAAAGAGTGTTTCAAAACTGCTGTACGAAAGGGAATGTTCAACTCTGTGACTTGAATGCACACATCACAAAGAAGTTTCTGAGTATGCTGCTGTCTACTTTTTATATGTAATACCGTTTCCAACGAAATCCTCCAAGCTATCCAAATATCCACTTGCAGATTCCACAGAAAGACTGTTTCAAAACTGCTCTGTCAATAGAAAGGTTCAACTCTGTTAGCTGCATGCATATATCCCAAAGAAGATTCTGAGATTGCTTCTGTCTAGTTTTTATGGGAAGATATTTCCCTTTTCACCGTGGCGTCAAGGCGCTCCAAATGACCACTTCCAGATACTACAAAAAGAGTGTTTCAAACCTACTCTGTGAAAGGGAATATTCAACTCTGTGACTTGAATGCACATATCACAAGGAAGTTTCTGAGAATGCTTCTGTCGAGATTTTATGTGAAGATACTCCCGTTGCCAACGAAATCCTGAAATCTATCCAAATATCCCCTCGCAGATTCTACAAAAAGAGTGTTTCAAAACTGCTCTGTAAAAAGAAAGGTTCAACTCTGTTAGTTGAGTACACACATCACAAACAAGTTTCACAGAATGCTTCTTTCTAGCTTTTAGGGGAAGATATTCCCTTTATCACCATGGGCCTCAAACCGTCTGAAACGTCCACTTCCATATACTACAAAAAGAGCATTTCAAACCTGCTCTATGAAAGGCAATGTTCAACTCTGTGACTTGAATGCAGACATCACAGAGCAGTTTCTGAGAATGCTTCTGTCTAGATTTTATAGGAAGATATTCCCGTTTCCAACGAAATCTTCACAGGTATCCAAATATCCACTTGCAGATTCTACAAAAAGAGTGTATCAAAACTGCTCTGTCAAAAGGAAGGTTCTTCTCTGTTAGGTGAGTGCATACCGTCATAAAGGAGTTTCTGAGAATGTTTCTGTCTAGTGGTTATGGGAAGATATTTGCTTTTTCACCGTAGGCCTCAGAGCGCTCCAAATATCCACTTGCATATACTACAAAAAGAGTGCTTCAAAGCTGCTCTCTGAAACGGAATGTTCAACTCTATGAGTTGAATGCAAACATCACAAAGACGTTTCTGAGAATGCTTCTGTCTAGATTTGATATGAAGATATTCCCGTTTCCAACGAAATCTTCAAATCTATCCAAATGTCCACTTGCAGATTCAAAAAAAAGTGTTTTTCAGAACTGCTCTATCAAAAGAAAGATCCACGTGTGTTAGCTGAGTTCACACATTACGAACAAGTTTATGAGAATGCTTCTGTCTAGTTTTTATTTGAAGATATTTCCTTTCTCACCATAAACCTGAAAGCTGTCCTAATGTTCACTTCCAGATACTACAGAAAGAGTGTTTCAAAACTGCTGTACGGAAGGGAATGTTCAACTCTGTGACTTGAATGCACACATCACAAAGAAGTTCCTGAGGATGCTGCTGTCTACTTTTTATACGTAATCCCGTTTCCAACGAAATCCTCCAAGCTATCCAAATATCCACTTGCAGATTCCACAGAAAGATTGTTTCAAAACTGCTCTGTCAATAGAAAGGTTCAACTCTGTTAGCTGCGTGCATATATCCCAAAGAAGATTCTGAGATTGCTTCTGTCTAGTTTTTATGGGAAGATATTTCCCTTTTCACCGTAGGCGTCAAAGCGCTCCAAATGCCCACTTCCAGATACTACAAAAAGAGTGTTTCAAACCTACTCTGTGAAAGGGAATATTCAACTCTGTGACTTGAATGCAGATATCACAAAGAAGTTTCTGAGAATGCTTCTGTCGAGATTTTATATGAAGATATTCCCGTTTCCAACGAAATCCTGAAATCTATCCAAATATCCCCTTGCAGATTCTACAAAAAGAGTGTTTCAAAACTGCTCTGTAAAAAGAAAGGTTCAACTCTGTTAGTTGAGTACACACATCACAAACAAGTTTCACACAATGCTTCTTTCTAGCTTGTAGGGGAAGATATTTCCTTTATCACCATGGTCCTCAAACCGTCCGAAACGTCCACTTCCATATACTAAAAAAAGAGTGTTTGAAACCTGCTCTATGAAAGGCAATGTTCAACTCTGTGACTTGAATGCAGACATCACAGAGCAGTTTCTGAGAATGCTTCTGTCCAGACTTTATAGGAAGATATTCCCGTTTCAAACGAAATCTTCACAGCTATCCAAATATCCACTTGCAGATACTACAAAAAGAGTGTATCAAAAGTGCTCTGTCAAAAGGAAAGTTCTTCTCTGCTAGTTGAGTACATACGTCATAAAGAAGTTTCTGAGAATGTTTCTGTCTAGTGGTTATGGGAAGATATTTGCTTTTTCACCTTAGGCCTCAGAGCGCTCCAAATATCCACTTGCACATACTACAAAAAGAGTGCTTCAAAGCTGCTCTCTGAACCGCAATGTTCAATTCTATGAGTTGAATGCAAACATCACAAAGACGTTTCTGAGAATGCTTCTGTCTAGATTTGATATGAAGATATTCCCGTTTCCAACGAAATCTTGAAATCTATCCAAATGTCCACTTGCAGATTCAACAAAGTGTTTTTCAGAACTGCTCTATCAAAAGAAAGATCCACGTGTGTTAGCTGAGTTCACACATCACAAACAAGTTGATGAGAATGCTTCTGTCTAGTTTTTATTTGAAGATATTTCCTTTCTCACCATAGAACTGAAAGCTGTCCTAATGTTCACTTCCAGATACTACAGAAAGAGTGTTTCAAAACTGCTGTACGAAAGGGAATGTTCAACTCTGTGACTTGAATGCACACATCACAAAGAAGTTTCTGAGGATGCTGCTGTCTACTTTTTATACGTAATCCCGTTTCCAACGAAATCCTCCAAGCTATCCAAATATCCACTTGCAGATTGCACAGAAAGACTGTTTCAAAACTGCTCTGTCAATAGAAAGGTTCAACTCTGTTAGCTGCGTGCATATATCCCAAAGAAGATTCTGAGATTGCTTCTGTCTAGTTTTTATGGGAAGATATTTCCCTTTTCACCGTAGGTGTCAAGGCGCTCCAAATGTCCACTTCCAGATACTACAAAAAGAGTGTTTCAAACCTACTCTGGGAAAGGGAATATTCAACTCTGTGACTTGAATGCACATATCACAAAGAAGTTTCTGAGAATGCTTCTGTCGAGATTTTATATGAAGATATTCCCGTTTCCAACGAAATGCTGAAATGTATCCAAATATCCCCTCGCAGATTCTACAAAAAGAGTGTTTCAAAACTGCTCTGTAAAAAGAAAGGTTCAACTCCTGTTAGTTGAGTACACACATCACAAACAAGTTTCACAGAATGCTTTCTTTCTAGCTTGTAGGGGAAGATATTCCCTTTGTCACCATGGGCCTCCAACCGTCCGAAACATCCACTTCCATATACTACAAAAAGAGCGTTTCAAACCTGCTCTATGAAAGGCAATGTTGAACTCTGTGACTTGAATGCAGACATCACAGAGCAGTTTCTGAGAATGCTTCTGTCCAGAGTTTATAGGAAGATATTCCCGTTTCCAACGAAATCTTCACAGCTATCCAAATATCCACTTGCAGATACTAAAAAAGAGTGTATCAAAAGTGCTCTGTCAAAAGGAAAGTTCTTCTCTGCTAGTTGAGTAAATTCGTCATAAAGAAATTTCTGAGAATGTTTCTGTCTAGTGGTTATGGGAAGATATTTGCTTTTTCACCTTAGGCCTCAGAGCGCTCCAAATATCCCCTTGCACATACTACAAAAAGAGTGCTTCAAAGCTCCTCTCTGAAAGGGAATGTTCAACTCTATGAGTTGAATGCAAACATCACAAAGACGTTTCTGAGAATGCTTCTGTCTAGATTTGATATGAAGATATTCCCGTTTCCAACGAAATCTTCAAATCTATCCAAATATCCACTTGCAGATTCAACAAAAAGTGTTTTTCAGAACTGCTCTATCAAAAGAAAGATCCACCTCTGTTAGCTGAGTTCACACATCACAAACAAGTTTATGAGAATGCTTTTGTCTAGTTTTTATTTGAAGATATTTTCTTTCTCACCATAGACCTGAAAGCTGTCCTAATGTTCACTTCCAGATACTACAGAAAGAGTGTTTCAAAACTGCTGTACAAAAGGGAATGTTCAACTCTGTGACTTGAATGCACACATCACAAAGAAGTTTCTGAGGATGCTGCTGTCTACTTTTTATACTTAATCCCGTTTCCAACGAAATCCTCCAAGCTATCCAAATATCCACTTGCAGATTCCACAGAAAGACTGTTTCAAAACTGCTCTGTCAATAGAAAGGTTCAACTCTGTTAGCTGCGTGCATATATCCCAAAGAAGATTCTGAGATTGCTTCTGTCTAGTTTTTATGGGAAGATATTTCCCTTTTCACCGTGGGCGTCAAGGCGCTCCAAATGTCCACTTCCAGATACTACAAAAAGAGTGTTTCAAACCTACTCTGTGAAAGGGAATATTCAACTCTGTGACTTGAATGCACATATCACAAGGAAGTTTCTGAGAATGCTTCTGTCGAGCATTTTCTATGAAGATATTCCCGTTTCCAACGAAATCCTGAAATCTATCCAAATATCCCCTCGCAGATTCTACAAAAAGAGTGTTTCAAAACTGCTCTGTAAAAAGAAAGGTTCAACTCTGTTAGTTGAGTACACACATCACAAACAAGTTTCACAGAATGCTTCTTTCTAGCTTATAGGGGAAGATATTCCCTTTATCACCATGGGCCTCAAACCGTCCGAAACGTCCACTTCCATATACTACAAAAAGAGCGTTTCAAACCTGCTCTAGGAAAGGCAATGTTCAACTCTGTGACTTGAATGCAGACATCACAGAGCAGTTTCTGAGAATGCTTCTGTCTAGATTTTATAGGAAGATATTCCCGTTTCCAACGAAATCTTCACAGCTATCCCAATATCCACTTGCAGATTCTACAAAAAGAGTGTATCAAAACTGCTCTGTCAAAAGGAAGGTTCTTCTCTGTTAGGTGAGTGCATACGTCATAAAGGAGTTTCTGAGAATGTTTCTGTCTAGTGGTTATGGGAAGATATTTGCTTTTTCACCTTAGGCCTCAGAGCGCTCCATATATCCCCTTGCACATACTACAAAAAGAGTGCTTCAAAGCTGCTCTCTGAAAGGGAATGTTCAACTCTATGAGTTGAATGCAAACATCAGAAAGACGTTTCTGAGAATGCTTCTGTCTAGATTTGATATGAAGATATTCCCGTTTCCAACGAAATCTTCAAATCTATCCAAATGTCCACTTGCAGATTCAACAAAAAGTGTTTTTCCGAACTGCTCTATCAACAGAAAGATCCGCCTCTGTTAGCTGAGTTCCCACATCACAAACAAGTTTATGAGAATGCTTCTGTCTAGTTTTTACTTGAAGATATTTCCTTTCTCACCATAGACCTGAAAGCTGTCCTAATGTTCACTTCCAGATACTACAGAAAGAGTGTTTCAAAACTGCTGTACGAAAGGGAATGTTCAACTCTGTGACTTGAATGCACACATCACAAAGAAGTTTCTGAGGATGCTGCTGTCTACTTTTTATACGTAATCCCGTTTCCAACGAAATCCTCCAAGCTATCGAAATATCCACTTGCAGATTCCACAGAAAGAGTGTTTCAAAACTGCTCTGTCAATAGAAAGGTTCAACTCTGTTAGCTGCGTGCATATATCCCAAAGAAGATTCTGAGATTGCTTCTGTCTAGTTTTTATGGGAAGATATTTCCCTTTTCACCGTAGGTGTCAAGGCGCTCCAAATGTCCACTTCCAGATACTACAAAAAGGGTGTTTCAAACCTACTCTGTGAAAGGGAATATTCAACTCTGTGACTTGAATGCACATATCACAAAGAAGTTTCTGAGAATGCTTCTGTCGAGATTTTATATGAAGATATTCCCGTTTCCAATGAAATCCTGAAATCTATCCAATTATCCCCTCGCAGATTCTACAAAAAGAGTGTTTCAAAACTGCTCTGTAAAAAGAAAGGTTCAACTCTGTTAGTTGAGTACACACATCACAAACAAGTTTCACAGAATGCTTCTTTCTAGCTTGTAGGGGAAGATACTCCCTTTATCACCATGGGCCTCCAACCGTCCGAAACATCCACTTCCATATACTACAAAAAGAGCGTTTCAAACCTGCTCTATGAAAGGCAATGTTCAACTCTGTGACTTGAATGCAGACATCACAGAGCAGTTTCTGAGAATGCTTCTGTCTAGATTTTATAGGAAGATATTCCCGTTTCCAACGAAATCTTCACAGCTATCCAAATATCCACTTGCAGATTCTACAAAAAGAGTGTATCAAAACTGCTCTGTCAAAAGAAAGGTTCTTTTCTGTTAGGTGAGTGCATACGTCATAAAGGCGTTTCTGAGAATGTTTCTGTCTAGTGGTTATGGGAAGATATTTGCTTTTTCACCTTAGGCCTCACAGCGATCCAAATATCCACTTGCACATACTACAAAAAGAGTGCTTCAAAGCTGCTGCTCTGAAACGGAATGTTCAACTCTATGAGTTGAATGCAAACATCACAAAGACGTTTGCTGAGAATGCTTCTGTCTAGATTTGATATGAAGATATTCCCGTTTCCAACGAAATCTTCATATCTATCCAAATGTCCACTTGCAGATTCAACAAAAAGTGTTTTTCAAAACTGCTGTATCAAAAGAAAGATCCACGTCTGTTAGCTGAGTTCACACATCAGAAACAAGTTTATGAGAATGCTTCTGTCTAGTTTTTATTTGAAGATATTTCCTTTCTCACCATAGACCTGAAAGCTGTTCTAATGTTCACTTCCAGATGCTACAGAAAGAGTGTTTCAAAACTGCTGTACGAAAGGGAATATTCAACTCTGTGACTTGAATGCACACATCACAAAGAAGTTTCTGAGGATGCTGCTGTCTACTTTTTATACGTAATCCCGTTTCCAACGAAATCCTCCAAGCTATCCAAATATCCACATGCAGATTCCACAGAAAGACTGTTTCAAAACTGCTCTGTCAATAGAAAGGTTCAACTCTGTTAGCTGCGTGCATATATCCCAAAGAAGATTCTGAGATTGCTTCTGTCTACTTTTTATGAGAAGATATTTCCCTTTTCACCGTAGGCGTCAAGGCGCTCCAAATGTCCACTTCCAGACTACTACAAAAAGGGTTTTTCAAACCTAGTCTGTGAAAGGGAATATTCAACTCTGTGACTTGAATGCACATATCACAAAGAAGTTTCTGAGAATGCTTCTGTCGAGATTTTATATGAAGATATTCCCGTTTCCAACGAAATCCTGAAATCTATCCAAATATCCCCTCGCAGATTCTACAAAAAGGGTGTTTCAAAACTGCTCTGTAAAAAGAAAGGTTCAACTCTGTTAGTTGAGTACACACATCACAAACAAGTTTCACAGAATGCTTCTTTCTAGCTTGTAGGGGAAGATATTCCCTTTATCACCATGGGCCTCCAAGCGTCCGAAACATCCACTTCCATATACTACAAAAAGAGCGTTTCAAACCTGCTCTATGAAAGGCAATGTTCAACTCTGTGACTTGAATGCAGACATCACAGAGCAGTTTCTGAGAATGCTTCTGTCTAGGTTTTATAGGAAGATATTCCCTTTTCCAACGAAATCTTCCAAGCTATCCAAATATCCACTTGCAGATTCTACAAAAAGAGTGTATCAAAACTGCTCTGTCAAAAGGAAGGTTCTCCTCTGTTAGTTGAGTACATACGTCATAAAGGAGTTTCTGAGAATGTTTCTGTCTAGTGGTTATGGGAAGATATTTGCTTTTTCACCTTAGGCCTCAGAGCGCTCCATATATCCCCTTGCACATACTACAAAAAGAGTGCTTCAAATCTGCTCTCTGAAAGGGAATGTTCAACTCTATGAGTTGAATGCAAACATCACAAAGACGTTTCTGAGAATGCTTCTTTCTAGATTTGATATGACGATATTCCCGTTTCCAACGAAATCTTCAAATCTATCCAAATGTCCACTTGCAGATTCAACAAAACGTGTTTTTCAGAACTGCTCTATCAAAAGAAAGATCCACCTCTGTTAGCTGAGTTCACACATCACAAACAAGTTTTTGAGAATGCTTCTGTCTAGTTTTTATTTGAAGATATTTCCTTTCTCACCATAGACCTGAAAGCTGTCCTAATGTTCACTTCCAGATACTACAGAAAGAGTGTTTCAAAACTGCTGTACGAAAGGGAATGTTCAACTCTGTGACTTGAATGCACACATCACAAAGAAGTTTCTGAGCATGCTGCTGTCTACTTTTGATACGTAATCCCGTTTCCAACGAAATCCTCCAATCTATCCAAATATCCACTTGCAGATTCCACAGAAAGACTGTTTCAAAACTGCTCTGTCAATAGAAAGGTTCAACTCTGTTAGCTGCGTGCATATATCCCAAAGAAGATTCTGAGATTGCTTCTGTCTAGTTTTTATGGGAAGATATTTCCCTTTTCACCGTAGGCGTCAAGGCGCTCCAAATGTCCACTTCCAGATACTACAAAAAGAGTGTTTCAAACCTACTCTGTGAAAGGGAATATTCACCTCTGTGACTTGAATGCAGATATCACAAAGAAGTTTCTGAGAATGCTTCTGTCGAGATTTTAAATGAAGATATTCCCGTTTCCAACGAAATCCTGAAATCTATCCAAATATCCCCTCGCAGATTCTACAAAAAGTGTGTTTCAAAACTGCTCTGTAAAAAGAAAGGTTCAACTCTCTTAGTTGAGTACACACATCACAAACAAGTTTCACAGAATGCTTCTTTCTAGCTTGTAGGGGAAGATATTCCCTTTAACACCATGGGCCGCAAACCGTCTGAAACGTCCACTTCCATATACTACAAAAAGAGCGTTTCAAACCTGCTCTATGAAAGGCAATGTTCAACTCTGTGACTTGAATGCAGACATCACAGAGCAGTTTCTGAGAATGCTTCTGTCTAGATTTTATGGGAAGATATTCCCGTTTCCGACGAAATCTTCACAGCTATCCAAATATCCACTTGCAGATTCTACAAAAAGAGTGTATCAAAACTGCTCTGTCAAAAGGAAGGTTCTTCTCTGTTAGGTGAGTGCATACGTCATAAAGGAGTTTCTGAGAATGTTTCTGTCTAGTGGTTATGGGAAGATATTTGCTTTTTCACCGTAGGCCTCACAGCGCTCCAAATATCCACTTGCACATACTACAAAAAGAGTGCTTCAAAGCTGCTCTCTGAAACGGAATGTTCAACTCTATGAGTTGAATGCAAACATCACAAAGACGTTTCTGAGAATGCTTCTGTCTAGATTTGATATGAAGTTATTCCCGTTTCCAACGAAATCTTCAAATCTATCCAAATGTCCACTTGCAGATTCAACAAAAAGTGTTTTTCAGAACTGCTCTATCAAAAGAAAGATCCACCTCTGTTAGCTGAGTTCACACATCACAAACAAGTTTATGAGAATGCTTCTGTCTAGTTTTTATTTGAAGATATTTCCTTTCTCACCATAGACCTGAAAGCTGTCCTAATGTTCACTTCCAGTTACTACAGAAAGAGTATTTCAAAACTGCTGTACGAAAGGGAATGTTCAACTTCTGTGACTTGAATGCACACATCACAAAGAAGTTTCCTGAGGATGCTGCTGTCTACTTTTTATACGTAATCCCGTTTCCAACGAAATCCTCCAAGCTATCCAAATATCCACTTGCAGATTCCACAGAAAGACTGTTTCAAAACTGCTCTGTCAATAGAAAGTTTCAACTCTGTTAACTGCGTGCATATATCCCAAAGAAGATTCTGAGATTGCTTCTGTCTAGTTTTTATGGGAAGATATTTCCCTTTTCACCGTAGACGTCAAGGCGCTCCAAATGTCCACTTCCAGATACTACAAAAAGAGTGTTTCAAACCTACTCTGTGAAAGGGAATATTCAACTCTGTGACTTGAATGCAGATATCACAAAGAAGTTTCTGAGAATGCTTCTGTCGAGATTTTATATGAAGATATTCCCGTTTCCAACGAAATGCTGAAATCTATCCAAATATCCCCTCGCAGATTCTACAAAAAGAGTGTTTCAAAACTGCTCTGTGAAAAGAAAGGTTCAACTCTGTTAGTTGAGTACACACATCACAAACAAGTTTCACACAATGCTTCTTTCTAGCTTGTAGGAGAAGATATTCCCTTTATCACCATGGGCCTCAAACCGTCCGAAACGTCCACTTCCATATACTACAAAAAGAGTGTTTCAAACCTGCTCTATGAAAGGCAATGTTCAACTCTGTAACTTGAATGCAGACATCACAGAGCACTTTCTGAGAATGCTTCTGTCTAGATTTTATAGGAAGATATTCCCGTTTCCAACGAAATCTTCACAGCTATCCAAATATCCACTTTCAGATTCTACAAAAAGTATGTATCAAAACTGCTCTGTCCAAAGGAAGGTTCTTCTCTGTTAGGTGAGTGCATACGTCATAAAGGAGTTTCTGAGAATGTTTCTTTCTGGTGGTTATGGGAAGATATTTGCTTTTTCACCGAAGGCCTCAGAGCGCTCCAGATATCCACTTGCACATACTACAAAATGAGTGCCTCAAAGCTGCTCTCTGAAACGGAATGTTCAACTCTATGAGTTGAATGCAAACATCACAAAGACGTTTCCGAGAATGCTTCTGTCTAGTATTTGATATGAAGATATCCCCGTTTCCAACGAAATCTTCAAATCTATCCAAATGTCCACTTGCAGATTCAACAAAAAGTGTTTTTCAGAACTGCTCTATCAAAAGAAAGATCCACCTCTGTTAGCTGAGTTCACACATCACAAACAAGTTTATGAAAATGCTTCTGTCTAGTTTTTATTTGAAGATATTTCCTTTCTCACCATAGACCTGAAAGCTATCCCAATGTTCACTTCCAGATACTACAGAATGAGTGTTTCAAAACTGCTGTACGAAAGGTGATGTTCAACTCTGTGACTTGAATGCACACATCACAAAGAAGTTTCTGAGGATGCTGCTGTCTACTTTTTATACGTGATCCTGTTTCCAACGAAATCCTCCAAGCTATCCAAATATCCACTTGCAGATTCCACAGAAAGACTGTTTCAAAACTGCTCGGTCAATAGAAAGGTTCAACTCTCTTAGCTGGGTGCATGTATCCCAAAGAGGATTCTGAGATTGCTTCTGTCTACTTTTCATGAGAAGATATTTCCCTTTTCACCGTAGGCGTCAAGGTGCTCCAAATGTCCACTTCCAGATACTACAAAAAGAATGTTTCAAACCTACTCTGTGAAAGGGAATATTCAACTCTGTGACTTGAATGCACATATCACAAAGAAGCTTCTGAGAATGCTTCTGTCGAGTATTTTCTATGAAGATATTCCCGTTTCCAACGAAATCCTGAAATCTATCCAAATATCCCCTCGCAGATTCTACAAAAAGAGTGTTTCAAAACTGCTCTGTAAAAAGAAAGGTTCAACTCCGTTAGTTGAGTACACACATCACAAACAAGTTTCACAGAATGCTTCTTTCTAGCTTGTAGGGGAAGATATTCCCTTTATCACCATGGGCCTCCAACCGTCCGAAACATCCACTTCCATATACTACAAAAAGAGCGTTTCAAACCTGCTCTATGAAAGGCAATGTTCAACTCTGTGACTTGAATGCAGACACCACAGAGCAGTTTCTGAGAATGCTTCTGTCCAGACTTTATAGGAAGATATTGCCGTTTCCAACGAAATCTTCACAGCTATCCAAATATCCACTTGCAGATACTACAAAAAGAATGTATCAAAAGTGCTCTGTCAAAAGGAAAGTTCTTCTCTGCTAGTTGAGTACATACGTCATAAAGAAGTTTCTGAGAATGTTTCTGTCTAGTGGTTATGGGAAGATATTTGCTTTTTCACCTTAGGCCTCAGAGAGCTCCAAATATCCCCTTGCACATACTACAAAAAGAGTGCTTCAAAGCTGCTCTCTGAAAGGGAATGTTCAAATCTATGAGTTGAATGCAAACATCACAAAGACGTTTCTGAGAATGCTTCTGTCTAGATTTGATATGAAGATATTCCCGTTTCCAACGAAATCTTCAAATCTATCCAAATGTCCACTTGCAGATTCAACAAAAGGTGTTTTTCAGAACTGCTCTATGAAAAGAAAGATCCACCTCTGTTAGCTGAGTTCACACATCACAAACAAGTTTATGAGAATGCTTCTGTCTAGTTTTTATTTGAAGATATTTCCTTTCTCACCATAGAGATGAAAGCTGTCCTAATGTTCACTTCCAGATACTACAGAAAGAGTGTTTCAAAACTGCTGTACGAAAGGGAATGTTCAACTCTGTGACTTGAATGCACACATCACAAAGAAGTTTCTGAGGATGCTGCTGTCTACTTTTTATGCGTAATCCCGTTTCCAACGAAATCCTCCAAGCTATCCAAATATCCACTTGCAGATTCCACAGAAAGACTGTTTCAAAACTGCTCTGTCAATAGAAAGGTTTAACTCTGTTAGCTGCGTGCATATATCCCAAAGAATATTCTGAGATTGCTTCTGTCTAGTTTTTATGGGAAGATATTTACCTTTTCACTTTAGGTGTCAAGGCGCTCCAAATGTCCACTTCCAGATACTACAAAAAGAGTATTTCAAACCTACTCTGTGAAAGGGAATATTCAACTCTGTGACTTGAATGCAGATATCACAAAGAAGTTTCTGAGAATGCTTCTGCCGAGATTTTAAAAGAAGATATTCCCGTTTCCAAGGAAATCCTGATATCTATCCAAATATCCCCACGCAGATTCTACAAAAAGAGTGTTTCAAAACTGCTCTGTAAAAAGAAAGGTTCAACTCTGTTAGTTGAGTACACACATCACAAACAAGTTTCACAGAATGCTTCTTTCTAGCTTGTAGGGGAAGATATTCCCTTTATCACCATGGGCCTCAAACCGTCTGAAACGTCCACTTCCATATACTACAAAAAGAGCATTCCAAACCTGCTCTATGAAAGGCAATGTTCAACTCTGTGACTTGAATGCAGACATCACAGAGCAGTTTCTGAGAATGCTTCTGTCTAGATTTTATAGGAAGATATTCCCGTTTCCAACGAAATCTTCACAGCTATCCCAATATCCACTTGCAGATTCTACAAAAAGAGTGTATCAAAACTGCTCTGTCAAAAGGAAGGTTCTTCTCTGTTAGGTGAGTGCATACGTCATAAAGCAGTTTCTGAGAATGTTTCTGTCTAGTGGTTATGGGAAGATATTTGCTTTTTCACCGTAGGCCTCAGAGCGCTCCAAATATCCACTTGCACATACTACAAAAAGAGTGCCTCAAAGCTGCTCTCTGAAGCGGAATGTTCAACTCTATGAGTTGAATGCAAACATCACAAAGACGTTTCTGAGAATGCTTCTGTCTAGATTTGATATGAAGATATTCCCGTTTCCAACGAAATCTTCAAATCTATCCAAATGTCCACTTGCAGATTCAACAAAATGTGTTTTTCAGAACTGCTCTATCAAAAGAAAGATCCACGTCTCTTAGCTGAGTTAACACATCACAAACAAGTTTATGAGAATGCTTCTGTCTAGTTTTTATTTGAAGGTATTTCCTTTCTCACCATAGACCTGAAAGCTGTCCTAATGTTCACTTCCAGATACTACAGAAAGAGTGTTTCAAAACTGCTGTACGAAAGGGAATGTTCAACTCTGTGACTTGAATGCCCACATCACAAAGAAGTTTCTGAGGATGCTGCCGTCTATTTTTTATACGTAATCCCGTTTCCAACGAAATCCTCCAAGCTATCCAAATATCCACTTGCAGATTCTACAAAAAGAGTGTTTCAAAACTGCTCTGTAAAAAGAAAGGTTCAACTCTGTTAGCTATGTGCATATATCCCAAAGAAAATTCTGAGATTGCTTCTGTCTAGTTTTTATGGGAAGATATTTCCCTTTTCACCGTAGGCGTCAAGGCGCTCCAAATGTCCACTTCCAGATACTACAAAAAGAGTGTTTCAAACCTACTCTGTGAAAGGGAATATTCATCTCTGTGACTTGAATGCACATATCACAAAGAAGTTTCTGAGAATGCTTCTGTCGAGATTTTATATGAAGATATTCCCGTTTCCAACGAAATCCTGAAATCTATCCAAATATCCCCTCGCAGATTCTACAAAAAGAGTGTTTCAAAACTGCTCTGTGAAAAGAAAGGTTCAACTCTCTTAGTTGAGTACACACATCACAAACAAGTTTCACAGAATGCTTCTTTCTAGCTTGTAGGGGAAGATATTCCCTTTGTCACCATGGGCCTCAAACCGTCCGAAACGTCCACTTCCATATACTACAAAAAGAGCGTTTCAAACCTGCTCTAGGAAAGGCAATGTTCAACTCTGTGACTTGAATGCAGACATCACAGAGCAGTTTCTGAGAATGCTTCTGTCTAGATTTTATAGGAAGATATTCCCGTTTCCAACGAAATCTTCACAGCTATCCAAATATCCACTTGCAGATTCTACAAAAAGAGTGTATCAAAACTGCTCTGTCAAAAGGAAGGTTCTTCTCTTTTAGGTGAGTGCATACGTCATAAAGGAATTTCTGAGAATGTTTCTGTCTAGTGGTTATGGGAAGATATTTGCTTTTTCACCGTAGGCCTCAGAGCGCTCCAAATATCCACTTGCACATAGTACAAAAAGAGTGCTTCAAAGCTGCTCTCTGAAACGGAATGTTCAACTCTATGAGTTGAATGCAAACATCTCAAAGACGTTTCTGAGAATGCTTCTGTCTAGATTTGATATGAAGATATTCCCGTTTCCAACGAAATCTTCAAATCTATCCAAATGTCCACTTGCAGATTCAACAAAAAGTGTTTTTCAGAACTGCTCTATCAAAAGAAAGATCCACCTCTGTTAGCTGAGTTCACACATCACAAACAAGTTTATGAGTATGCTTCTGTCTAGTTTTTATTTGAAGATATTTCCTTTCTCACCAAAGACCTGAAAGCTGTCCTAATGTTCACTTCCAGATACTACAGAAAGAGTGTTTCAAAACTGCTGTACGAAAGGGAATGTTCAACTCTGTGACTTGAATGCACACATCACAAAGAAGTTTCTGAGGATGCTGCTCTCTACTTTTTATACGTAATCCCGTTTCCAACGAAATCCTCCAAGCTATCCAAATATCCACTTGCAGATTCCACAGAAAGACTGTTTCAAAACTGCTCTGTCAATAGAAAGGTTCAACTCTGTTAGCTGCGTGCATATATCCCAAAGAAGATTCTGAGATTGCTGCTGTCTAGTTTTTATGGGAAGATATTTCCCTTTTCACCGTAGGCGTCAAGGCGCTCCAAATGTCCACTTCCAGATACTACAAAAAGAGTGTTTCAAACCTACTCTGTGAAAGGGAATATTCAACTCTGTGACTTGAATGCACATATCACAAAGAAGTTTCTGAGAATGCTTCTGTCGAGATTTTATATGAAGATATTCCCGTTTCCAACGAAATCCTGAAATCTATCCAAATATCCCCTCGCAGATTCTACAAAAAGAGTGTTTCAAAACTGCTCTGTGAAAAGAAAGGTTCAACTCTGTTAGTTGAGTACACACATCACAAACAAGTTTCACACAATGCTTCTTTCTAGCTTGCAGGGGAAGATATTCCCTTTATCACCATGGGCCTCCAACCGTCCGAAACATCCACTTCCCTATACTACAAAAAGAGCGTTTCAAACCTGCTCTATGAAAGGCAATGTTCAACTCTGTGACTTGAATGCAGACATCACAGAGCAGTTTCTGAGAATGCTTCTGTCTAGATTTTATAGGAAGATATTCCAGTTTCCAACGAAATCTTCACAGCTATCCAAATATCCACTTGCAGATTCTACAAAAAGAGTGTATCAAAACTGCTCTGTCAAAAGGAAGGTTCTTCTCTGTTAGGTGAGTGCACACGTCATAAAGGAGTTTCTGAGAATGTTTCTGTCTAGTGGTTATGGGAAGATATTTGCTTTTTCACCGTAGGCCTCAGAGCGCTCCAAATATCCACTTGCACATGCTACAAAAAGAGTGCTTCAAAGCTGCTCTCTGAAAGGGAATGTTCAACTCTATGAGTTGAATGCAAACATCACAAAGACGTTTCTGAGAATGCTTCTGTCTAGATTTGATATGAAGATATTCCCGTTTCCAACGAAATCTTCAAATCTATCCAGATGTCCACTTGCAGATTCAACAAAAAGTGTTTTTCAGAACTGCTCTATCAAAGGAAAGATCCACCTCTGTTAGCTGAGTTCACACATCACAAACAAGTTTATGAGAATGCTTCTGTCTAGTTTTTATTTGAAGATATTTCCTTTCTCACCATAGACCTGAAAGCTGTCCTAATGTTCACTTCCAGATACTACAGAAAGAGTGTTTCCAAACTGCTGTACGAAAGGGAATGTTCAACTCTGTGACTTGAATGCACACATCACAAAGAAGTTTCGGAGGATGCTGCTGTCTACTTTTTATACGTAATCCCGTTTCCAACGAAATCCTCCAAGCATTCCCAATATCCACTTGCAGATTCCACAGAAAGACTGTTTCAAAACTGCTCTGTCAATAGAAAGGTTCAACTCTGTTAGCTGCGTGCATATATCCCAAAGAAGATTCTGAGATTGCTTCTGTCTACTTTTTATGAGAAGATATTTCCCTTTTCACCGTAGGCGTCAAGGCGCTCCAAATGTCCACTTCCAGATACTACAAAAAGAGTGTTTCAAACCTACTCTGTGAAAGGGAATATTCAACTCTGTAACTTGAATGCACATATCACAAAGAAGTTTCTGAGAATGCTTCTGTCGAGATTTTATATGAAGATATTCCCGTTTCCAACGAAATCCTGAAATCTATCCAAATATCCCCTCGCAGATTCTACAAAAAGAGTATTTCAAAACTGCTCTGTAAAAAGAAAGGTTCAACTCTGTTAGTTGAGTACACACATCACAAACAAGTTTCACAGAATGCTTCTTTCCAGC